>NC_000006.12:102343517-102495032 GCF_000001405.40 Homo sapiens
ATACAATAGAGTATATTATATAATATACAATAGAGTATATTATATAATATACAATAGAGTATATTATATATGATATATAATAGAGTATATTATATATGATGTATAATAGAGTATATTATATATGATGTATAATAGAGTATATTATATATGATGTATAATAGAGTATATTATATATGATGTATAATAGAGTATATTATATATGATGTATAATAGAGTATATTATATATGATGTATAATAGAGTATATTATATATGATGTATAATAGAGTATATTATATATGATGTATAATAGAGTATATTATATATGATGTATAATAGAGTATATTATATATATGATGTATAATAGAGTATATTATATATATGTATACTCTCTATATACTCTCTCTCTCTATATATATATATAGAGAGAGAGAGAGAGAGAGAGAGAGAAAGTCTTGCTCTGTCATCTATGCTAAAATGGTGCAATCATGGCTTATTGCAGCCTTGACCTCTTGGACTCAGGCTATCCTTCCACCTCAGCATCATTAGTAGCCAGAACTACAGGCATGTGCTACCATGCCTGTCTAATTTTTATTATTACTTTTTTTAAGATGAGGTCTCAGTATGTTGCTCAGGCTGGTTTTCAACTCCTGAACTCAAGCAATCATCCTGCCTTGGGCTCCCAAAGTACAGTGCTGAGATTACAGGCATGAAACACTGCGCCTGGTCAAAATATCCTAAATAGAATACAAAACACTAGATATAAAAGAAACATATTGTGGACCTTATTATAATTAAAACTTTTCTCCTAAAAGATACAATTATGAAGAAGCAAAACAAGCCACATACTAGCATACAACATGAGCAAAGGATATATTTAACATGGAATGTATACCTCAAATATATAAAGAGCTCCTAAAAATAAATATGCAGAAGAATTAAAACACAGAAACAGGGGACAAATTTATATAGATATGCCACATAAGAAGATTTTCAAGTGGTCAGTAAGAATCCTGACCTCCTCAGCAACATACTCATTTTAAAAATGCAGATTATAGCCTCAAAAATATGCTTATTTACATTCACTAGGATGGATAAAATTGAAAGTGTGTACTGAAAACTTCAAGTATTAATTAGGGTGTGGAGGAACTGCAACACCCATGTATTGGTGCAACTATTTTGAAAAACTGTTCAACAGTTTACAAACGGTAAACATATGTTTGTTAGTTCATCTCTAACAATGACTTCTTAATGTACTGTGACTCCTACTATTCAGACCTTTGTGTTAATTGTAGTTGAATTTGGCCTGCCCTTTGTTGCTGGCTGAAACAATTGAATGAAGCAGTTGCGATTTTTTTGAAACTTCTAAGGCTATGTCATCTGAAGCCTTGCAACTTCCTCCTTGATATTTGGAAAGCTTACTTTTGGGAACTCCCTCCTGGATCTCAGTGTTCATATCAGTGACAGTCAGGATTCAGTATAAGTCACGTGATTAAGTTATTTTTAATATCTAGGTCCATTGAGTATTTAAATGATTCTAGACACAGTTAAACAGAAGCAGCAATAATTGAAAAACACACTTAAGCTACTAATATTATTTCTAAATACTTAAGAAATGTTATGTATATCCATCAAATCACATGTACAAGAATATTAATAACAATAATACTCATAATATTTTAAAATGGAAAAAAATTAAATGTCATTAATAAGAGAACAGATAAAGCAAAAAATACATAACTATAATGACAGGGATAAAGCTACAGACATTCTTTTCCAGCAAAACAAGTCATACCCAAAGAATACATGTGGTATGATTTTACATTACAGTATGATATACATTTTATATGAAGATCAGGTAAAATTATTTATTAGTGTCTGAAGTCAGAATAGTGAATACACTTAGTGCTTGGAGATCAGGATTGATCTCCAAAATGAGAAAAAGTATATCACAAGAACATTGTGAGCATTAAAGTAAGTTGTGCATGTAAAGCATATATATTTGCTTGGTATAAAAAGTAATATTTACTGCTTTTGGGTCCTACCTTTTTCATTTACAAATAACGACACTAAACTCTGGTTAAGTGCTTAATGAAGCATGGAATAAGAGATCTTGGAAATAAGACAATGGCACTGAGACAGGAAAGAAAGATGAATTAATAAAGCATTGTGACTAACTATGGAGCAAGAATAAAAACCACCAAAAATATGTTTTATGCAGAGAATAGAGACAAAAGTGATATCATTAACCAAAACAAAGCAAATATATAAGGAGTAAGAAGTTGGAGAATTTACACATTTGTATTAAAGCATGTAGCATTTGAAGTGACAACAGACTAATGAGATGTCATGTATACAGTAGAATAGATAATAGTGATGACATGACTGGAGTGTCAGGTTGGGAATTACCTGCATAGATTTGGAACTTTTAAACCTATAATAATTGTTGAGATTTCTTTGTAAGGAACATAGAGGCAGATTTCCAGAAAAATGTGGTACACATTTAATAGCTGATTGTTCACAAACCTTAATACATTGGTATTTGAGGAATAAAGGTTTTATTATCCCACAATAATAAAGAGAAGCAGAGAGAGAAATAAGTGAATAAAATATTTAAAATACTATTTGAAGATAGAAACTAGAAGGAAAAATGTGAATTGACTATGAGAGCCAAAGAAGTTATAATTGAAGTATGTAAAAGGAGGAGATTAATATAGGTATCAGTTTACTTACAGAACCCCTGAAATACTCTGAACTTGAAGTAAACAAAATATTATCTACCAAGTATCCAGATACCTAAGCCTTTGTGTTCTTAATAGGAAAATAGAGGTTTATTCACAGGAGACATTAAACCTGAGGACTCCAGACAACAGAGGCCACTAAATTCATGTCAGGCACAGGACAAGGGGTTTGAAGTTATATTTAATTATATTTTATAAAGTGAACTATGGAAGTTTTGGCCTTCCTTTTCCTATTTTACTTTCTTAAAATAGATAAACGGGCATATAGCCCATTTCCCCTATCCCCAAAACTTGCAGAAATGGAACTACACTTCGAAAATAGATTTTCACATCTGGGACCTGGGAGTCTGCAAATAAGAATGTTGAATTACACAAACCATGAAAGCCCACTGGTTGTCAAATCCTTCACACACTATTCTATATACACGGAGCTCCCAGTCACCTGTTCAGTGCTTCAATATTAAATAGCAAAGAGAGTTGAAGATCACTTAACATTTAAGTAGCTCCTTGCACTTGAAAGGAAGTGAAGAACAAATCAAAATGAAAAAACAAACAAAAAAACCAAACACACGTTCAGAAGGAACAAAACTTAATATAAGGAGTATATTCAGAGAAGTAAGATATTTTTGTTTCTGTAAAACAAGATTATAATGCTATAACAAATATTTTGAGGACATCACCTTTAAACATTTAGGACATACTAAAATGTTTAAATAAAATTGTCATATAAGTTCAAGGTAACAGAATAAATGACAAAGACAGAGAATAGGCCAAAAAATAAAGGTTTAATATCCAGCATCTATAAGGAACTTAAACAAATTTACAAGAGAAAAACAAACAACTGCATTAAAAGGTCGGCAAAGGACATGAACAGACACTTTTCAAAAGAAGACATACATGTGGCCAACAAACATATGAAAAAAAGTTCAAAATTACTGATTATTAGAGAAATGCAAACCCAAACCACAATGAGATACCATCTCACACAATCAGAATGGCTATTATTAAAAAGACAAAAAATAACAGATGCTTAAGAGGTTGCAGAGAAAAGTGAACACTCATACACTGTTGTTGGGAGTGTAAATTAGTCAAACCATTGTGGGAAGCAGTACAGCAATTCCTCAAAGAGCTAAAAGCAGAACTACTATTGGATCCAGCAATCCCATTACTTGGTGCATACCCAGAGGAATATAAATCATTCTACCACAGGACACATGGACATGAATGTTCTTTGCAGCACTATTCACAATAGTAAAGATGTGGAATCAACCTAAATGCTAATTAATGATAGATTGGGTAAAGAAAATGTGGTGCATATACACCATGGAATACTATGCAGCCAGAAAAAGAATGAGATTATATCTTTTGCAGGGATACAAATGAAGATGACGGATGTTGTCCTTAGCAAACTAACGCAGGAAGAGAAAGCCAAATAAGGTAGGTTCTTACTTATAAGTGGGAGCTAAATGATGAGAACACAAGGGCACATAGAGGGGAACACCATACACTGGGGCCTACTGGAGGGTGGAAGGTGGGAGGAGGGAAATGATTAGGAAAAATAACTAATGGATACTAGGCTTAATACCTGGGTGATGAAGTCATCTGTACAACAAACCCCCATGGCACATGTTTACTTACAAAACAAACCTGCACATCCTGCACATTTACCCCTGAACTTTAAACATTTTAAAAAATGGTGTAAAAAGATTCAAAATTTTATGTCCTGTATAGCTGTCCCTATGAATCAAGTATTCTGATTCAGAAAACAAAAGATGAACCAAGAAAAAAAAATAATATTGTAATATGGTTTGGCTCTGTGTCCCCACCCAAATCTCATCTCCTATTGTAATTTCCATGTGTTGAGGAGGGGCCTGATGGGAGGTAATTGAATCATGGGGGTGAACTTTCCTCTTGCTGTTCTTGTGATAGTGAGTGACTTCTCACAAGATCTGGTTGTTTGAAAGTGTGTGATACTTCTACCTTCTTGCTCTCTTTCTCTCTCTTTCTCTCTCTCCTGCTGCCATTGAGAAAACATGCCTTGCTTCCCCTTTACCTTCCACCACGATTGTAAATTTCCTGAGGCCTCCCCAGCCATGTGGAACTGTGAATTAATTAAACCTCTATTTTTAATGAATTACCCAGTCTCAGGTAGTTCTTTATAGCACTGAGAAAATGGACTAATACACATTGCTTTAAAAAAGAATCAAGTGTCAAAAGGAGGAAAAGAATAACGGATGGAAGTCCTAGAACCAGGTTTGGAAATTTACCTACATTTCAGATTAGAACAGGACACTGTGAGCTCTGAAACTGGTAGGTTGTCAATATGTTTAGGCATTTGTAAAAGAATAAAACATTTTCATGTATTTGAAAAGCTGATACAGAAATTAAGAAAAAATAGTAATTAATAGAAAAATTTTGAAAAAGAAATAAATAATTGTTAACTCCAGAAATGACAATGATGAATTAGTTGTTGAGAATGGAGAGATCAATTCAAGAATGAATAATAATATCCTCACCAAATGTCTTCTAGAAGAGGATGTATAAATATACTGCATATATATTTATAGATGTGTATAATATCTAGTTTATTTATATATACATATATGTTTAGTTAGAAGAACAAAAAGAGGAAGCAAAAAGTGAAAGGTATATACTGTTTAACTTTTTATCATGTAATTTCATAGAAGTGTCATTTCATACACAGACACTATTTTTCAAGCAATCATTCCAATCAGAGAAATTATAGGTTATATTGCAGGTTTTAAGACAGCATAGATGGAAAAATGTAATTTACAATTGCAGAATAATTTTCCTTTACAAGTACAGCAGAATGTCACAAAAAGGTATGTCTTCTACCACATATATACATGGTTAAATTTGGTGTTATTAAGCCCTTGTTTGCAGTTGATAAAATTAATAATCTATTTTAGCATCAAAATATATAAAATAGATCACTGAAATTTTTTTCAATATATATTGAAATTTTTTCAAAATATATAAAATAGATCATTGAAATTTTGTGTTCAGTTACCATTTTCTTATCACAGAAAAGTATTTCAAATAATATCACTGGTACAAATTTAAAATTCTATAGTACCAGAGTGACTGAGTCCTGAGTATGAATTTTTATCTTTGTTGTCTTCTTTATGTATGAACATTAGATACAAGAAAACATATAAGAGATATTTAAAATAAATTAAAACCCTAAATAAATGGAGGTAATAACATTTTATAGATTGGAGGACACATTGAAAAGATGATCATATTTTAAAGATGTCAATTTTTCAACGATTCGACGCATTCATCATAATCCCAACAGGAGTGTGTATGTGCATGTAGCATCCTCTTCCACATTTGAGGATCCTTATGATTGATTACACTGGGACCACCTGGATAATTCAGAATACTCTCTATATTTTCATGTCGACTGATTAGCAACCTTAATTTCCTCTGTATTATAATAAATCCATACATCAAAATACCTTACAGCAATCAAAAAGAATGAACTACTTGAAACAACAACATAATGATTAAGGCATATATGAAATTAAGCCATAGATCCTAGGAAAAAAAGAGTGCATACTGTGCGGATTTCATTTACATAAATAAAGTTCAAAAACTGTCAAAACAAATCAAAATACTACAACTCAAAATAGTAGTTTATTGCCATAGAAATATTAGCTGGGAGGAAGAATAAAAAAGATGTGAGGTTTTTAATGATATAAATCCATTTAAGGTTCTAAAGCCAGTTAATGTTCTAAATCACTCAAAATTTAAATATTAATTAAATATAAACTATTCACTTAAGATTTTTACATTTGATTATGTGAATATTAGGTATTACATCTCAAAAGTAGTTTTATATAATTTCATACAAACCTGAACAATGTGACATGTTAGTTTTATCTTGAGCTTTTCAGAAGTGATCTGAGCTAACACAGGAAATGAGAATCTTAAAACGTGTAGATATAAAAATACATTCAAAAACAGCTTAATGACTAGTTTTAATTTTTCAGTTTATTATACATTAATTTTTACAAAAATAGTTTATAAATTTGGTTCACACCAAATCTTTTCTTTAATATTTACATGTTTCTGGTGAATTACTCATTTTCCATTGCTGCTGTAACAAATTATTACACATTTAGTAACAAGAATTTGTTATTTTACAGTCTGTAGGTCAGAAATCTTACATGAATTCACCTCCCATCTAACTGAGCTAAAAACCAATGTGTTAGTAGAGCATTTTTTTTTCCCCCAAGGGGCTCTAAAAGGAGAAACTGATTTCTTACCTTTCATAGCTTTCACAGACTGCCTGCATTTCCCTGACTCCTGGCCTTTTCGATTGTCTAAGCAATATCCAGTGGTCTTTCTCTCATTGTGTCACTCAAATACTGTCACTTCTCTCCTCTTTTGCATTTAACATCCTCGTGATTATTGGGCCCACCTAGATAATCCAATATAATCTATCTATATTAAATTCATCTGATTAGCAACCTTAATTCCTTCTGCCACATTACTTCTTCTCTGTCATATGATATAATATGTTCATATGTTCCAGAATTAAGATGTGGACAGATGCCAGCATCTGAGTGGGAAGTTCTTATTCTGCCTATCATATTGGGTATGTAAGGTTCCTTCTTAAAATTTAAGTCTAGAATACAAAAGATGTAGCATGTCATAGTTAATTTGACAATCTAACTTATAGTAACTCTGGTTTCTCTCTGTGTCTCAGTTTTTTGTTGGCCTGTGCTTGTGGAAGACGAACTGCACTGTAAAATTTTAATATGTACCACTCTGACTTTTTAACATAAAAATATTTAAACAGATTGAGTAAAATAATAAAAGATCTTAAGGTATCTGGCTAGGAATGCTAATTTTGACCTTTACATTTCTGCTTCCATGTTTACCAATTCTTCATTGAGATTTCTCCATCTTTTTCCAATTTCCCTTGTTTTCAATAAGTGGTTCATAAATACTGTTAATCAGAAAAAAAAGCTACTGCTTTCAATAAATGGTTCATAAATACTGTTAATCAGAAAAAAATGCTTCTGTTTTCAATAAATGGTTCACAAATACTGTTAATCAGAAAAAAATCCTACCGGTATTATGAAAATATAATAATATGTCAAAGGACTTTCTTGTAAAGTTAAAAATCTATACTTACATAAAATTGCATCGATAATGTTTTTAATAGTAGATAATTTCATTCAGGTGTTTTTTTATAAAAATATATGTTTCCTGAAGTTCACTTACAAGTATTCATTTCTTAAAAATGAGACACTTGCCACTCTGAAATTAAACTTTTATTTTTAAATTTAGTTGATTTTTACTCAGTTTCAACCCGGAGTTGTCTAAAGTTTCTCAATGAAAAGAGGTATTAAAGATGAGACAAAAGAGAGTTAAATAGTTCTACATTATAAGGCTCTACATTATAGAAAACCCTATAATAAAGACGTACTTTATCTACATAATTATCCTGGAACTATTATTACCAAAAGGGCTGAATAATGTTAATGTTGGCAACACTAAACAGCAGCATGTGGACCTAACTCACAGAAATAGTTATAAAAGTAAATAATAAGTAAATCCTCCAGCTTGCTTGCTAAATAACACTCTAGTTTTTGAAGACAAACAATTTACCTTCCATCTACTAAGAGTGTATATATATATATATAAATCTTGTATGTACGTGTATGTATGTGTGTGTGTGTACTGATAAACACACATATATATAAATGGTGGGGCAATAATTTTGGTGTCAGAAATCAAATAATGATCTAATGATAGTGGGAAGAAATTTCACTGCATTATTTGTTATTTGTTGCTTTTTTTCCTATAATATCGTTCACTCTTTTTGAAGTGTACATTTTAAAAATATCTAAGTTTTATATCTTTCAATTTTTTGACCTGTCCTATTATTTTAATACTTACCTAGCGAAATATATATACATAGACTTTACTATCAGCACATTGTATTGTGAGTTTTGTCTTTTTACAGGTTTATACATTTTACTTGGTAAGTAGATTTTCTTAGATGCTTTATAGCAGAAGGTAAAGAATCTGTTTAAGGATACTTGTATACCTCTTCTGTTTTCCTCACAAATTATTTCCGTAACTACAGAAAAAAAAAGTGTGTCTTTGTTGATAATAAAGGCTTTCTATTGTTTACATTTCATTAAAAAGTAATAGATTATTAATGTCAGTTCTTTTAGAATAATGATAAAAGGGCAGCTTCCTAGCCAGAAATCATCAACTTTTTGAAGCTGAGATGGAATTCACCAGGCATAGGCAAGTATCACAGTTGTAGGACTTTTTCCTTAGTTCGGCTGACAGCCAGGTTCTTCGTCAGAGATTAGACTCGCAGACACTTTGAAAAGTGAGAAAAAAAGGAATTTATTGGGAAAAAAAGGGGAAACAGGGACCCTCCACAAAGCCAAAGTCCTGCCAGTGAACTTCCTGTCTCGCAGATTGAATCCCTGTTGCCACCCAGGAAGAGGAGGGACCAGGCTCCACTGCACTGCAAACAGCATGAACTTGCTGAGGCTCTACCCCAGTGCACACTCCTCCCAGTGCACAGGCAGTGGGGGGTTCTCAGTAACCCCTTTATACTTGGCTGTCTCTTTCCCCCCTCTAAAGAAGTACATCTAACTGCCTTCGGAATAAAGATAAGGATAAGGACAAATATCTATCCTAACTGCTTTCTGCTGACAGAGGGTACTGTTTTGAAAAGACAGCAGTCAGATCTCCCTCAGAGGCCGATCTAAGGGTGCCCAGCAAAAGGGGTCATCTGAGTCTCCCGTTGCATGTCCCTTTGGAGTTTGATGGCATGAAGGCAAGAACAGACAAACCAGGTTATTGGAAAACTGTATCAAAATGAAATGAGGGGAGGGGTAAGGACAGACCAAAAATCCCAGGCTCTTTTACCAGTTTGCATGGCGAGAGGGAGGCCAAAAGCCCAACTGAAAAAAACAAACAAACAAACAAAACTTTACCTTTTCGCTGGCAGGTTGGGCTTTTGGATTCCCTTCCCCTGAGACCAATCCTAAACCAATCAGTTTAAGGTTTGGGAAATTAACTCTTTCCGGTTTGAAGGATGCATCTGAGGGGAGTATCCTGTAGTACCGAGACATAATTATCTGTTAGCGAAGAGAGAACAGAGGAGGAGGATAGAAAAATGAAGGCATTTTTAGGAGTCCCAGAGGTTCAGGATGCATTCGAAAGGGGTACAGACTGAAGAAGAATGGCTACCCATCTAGAGAGAGGAGAGCAGGCATCCCTGGTGCCCGTCTCTTCCTGGCAGATAGCCAGGGTGCATGAGGGAGAGAAGAGTTTCCTCTTTCTCTCTTCCATTCTTGTATTCCCGAGACCCAGTGACCTTGGCAGGTGCTGCCATGGGTGCCAAAGCGGCTTGCACCCATGAAGCATAAAGGGCCTAGAGAATAGGAATTATCTGCTCTCACCTATGTCTCTATCCCACCTACTGACAGTAGCCTCAGAGTTCCCTAGACCTCATTTATGCCATGGATACTAGCATGACTTTTATCCAGAGGCCTGTCTTAATTGGCAGGAATTAGCCATGCTCACCTGTGCTGTGCCTTTTAACCTCTGTAATTGTCTCTCTCTGGATCCCTTAGTTCCAATTTCCCTTCCTAGGGCTTTGACCCAAAGCTTAGAAATTAGTTTGGGATAAAAATATGTCTTACAGGGGGGTTGCGTGGATTCCTTATCATAAGCCAAATGCTAAGGTGAAGCTATGGAATTGACTCCTCCTCTGACAAGGAAAAGGATGTCTTGTGACACACCCAGATAACTGGTGGCTATAGGTATGCTTGTTAGGATTTGGGGGCATGGTGCTTGGCTTTGTTCAGCTCCCTTAGTCTTACTTTCCCAAAAAGGAAACCTCCAAGTTATGGACATCCTGTTTATTCCCATTATCTGGCAAGATTTGCAGCACAATTGCTCAGAACTAGAATATTGATCCAGGCTTTTACCTTACCCATCCCCTTTTGTTCTTTCTCAGCTGCAGCCAGAGATTGCTGGTTGGTTCACAGGAACAAGCAGGGTTTATCTAAAAATGTAGGCAAAAACTTAAAAACAACTAATGAGTTTAGAATTTAATGACAAATGTATGATAACTTTTAAAACATAATTTCTCTCTCTCCAGTCCTCATTTTTGTTAAGGAAACAAATCATCTATGATCTTGATGAAAACAAAAATCAATAATTTTTGCAAACAACTTTATATAGACTTTAGTCTTACATTTGCAAAATAGACTTTAGTCTTATATTTAGCCTGATTATTTGCATAAAGTGCAGCAATAATAACTATTTCTACACAGGTCTTTTGTATTGGCTTTAAAGGAACTCTATTCCAGAAGGAATCTCAGATAAGAACTTTTAAAGCTGAACCCAGCCACAGGTTTGTATCCTCAAATACCTGTGAATTGGATGATCCTCTTCTCTTAAGGTCCCAGGATAAACTTTGAGTTCCTAGACCTGTCAGAAAGTGACATTCTTTACTCTGATTGCAGTCAGGAACCCTGTATAGGGACTGCATAGGCAAGGGTATAAGGCCAGTCTCTCCAAGGGGCTTTCATTGGCTCTGCAAGTCGAGATTGACTCCTTAAAGGGAAGCATAGCCTTCCAGTCAAAGCCTTGGTAAGATGACCAGTTTCTCCAAGTGTGTCCTGTTGAAAAAGAAAAATGGATTATTATTGCACTGACTCAAACAACTATATTGCCATAAGTTAAGAATACTCACAGATAGTTGTTCAAATTCTAGAGGAACCAAGCAGAGAGAATCAAATATGCTCCAAATTTTGTTCACAGGAATATACCTTACTCAATTATTAAAGGCCATAAATAGTTCAAAATAAGTTTCCTTGACTCAGAAAAACAAAATGAGAAAAAGCAATATTCCAAGCAAAAGCCAAAAAGATTTGCTTCAGTTTCCTGAGTTCAGTCCATTTAGTTAATACTTGTTTTGCTTGATATTCGTGAACATTTCAGCACTTCATGAATCCTGTACATTTTCCTTTATTCCAATGTCACAATATCCAAAGTTATCAGAAGCCTGTCTTGAGAGGACCTGTCAAAGTTCTATGGTTTATTATAAACCATCTTTTGAAAAGGATTAAAACAATACAATTGTCTGTAAATAGAAGAATGTACAGGGTATTTATGTTAGAAACAGAACTGACGAAGTTTGGTTATCTTTGTTGTTTACAATAACTTAACGTAACAACCTTAATTATGACTGATAGCATATATGCAGACATTAGAATTTTAGAAATCCCATACAACTTTGGAACATATATTAGCATTATTCACAAAAAATAACCTAAAGAAGATTGACCATCATTTTGGCAATCCTAAGTACATCTTCTAAAAGGAAAAGAGAACTGGTTTAAAAGTTAATTGCTATCTGGTTGAAGAAGAAAACATGATTCCTGGGGGAAGAACCTCTTATTCTTATGTAAATGGTTCCTTCACCAGGGGAGAGAAGCTTAATTACTGTCCTATGGAGTTAAACCACTTGGCCAAGGAAGGGGAAGATGCCATGGAAGCAAGGCCTTCCCTATACCCAGCTGGGAGGGGTGGGGGAGTGAGGAACCCCCGCTTGACTGTCCACCACCAAAAAAGAAGGAAAAGGCCATGTAAAGACCCCCAACCTCCAGGAGCAACAGGGGTGGGGGCATGGTTTCCCCTACCCTCAGAAGTCTGAGGATGAAAAGGCTTAGCAGGGACAGTGAGGTTTTGAGTCCCCATTTCCCTCACCCCTTCTCAAGCCCCATGTTCTGGGAACCAAAGCTGTTGTAGAGCTTTTTCCTTAGTTCGCCTACGAGTCAGGGTCTTGTCTCATGGCCATGAGAGATTAGGCTTGCAAGACACTTTGGAGAGTGAGGAAAAAATGCAATTTATTGGGCAAAAAGGGTAAAAAAAGGGAAACAGGGACCCTCTGCGAAGCCAGAGTCCTGCCAGTGAACTTCCCGCCTCGCAGATTGAATCCCAGGTTCCACCCAGGAGGAGGAGGGGCCAGGCTCCTCCCAGCTGCAAATTGGACGAACTTCCGAAGGCTCCATCCCAGTGCACACTTCTCCCAGTTTACAAGCTGGTTGGGAGTTCTCTGGCGACCCCTTCAAACTCAGCTGTCTCATCACAGGCAGCGGTATGACCTTGTATAAACCTTGAGGAACCTGCAAGGCTGACCTCCGGCTGGGAATACATTGTGTTGCTTCCTGTTGGGTGGGTTCATCTCCATGCAGCAACATTATCTTCCTTACATCTCTCTATTTGGATCTATCATTACTCTGCTACTGCTGCTGACCATGTAATCATTTCAGGAGCACTCTAATGAATCGTTCTGCAACTTAAAAAATCTAGTAATTTTATGGGGTGTAAATAAATAAGCCTGGGTTATAAAAATGAAGGTGGATGTATTATATTCAGTTATTCACCGAAAGAAATAAGCAAGTCTTTCTCGTCTAGGAAATGTGTGAGAAGAGGTTTTTCTGTAATATTAGAAAAGGAGGACTATGCTTTCTCATATGTCAAAATCTCTGGCCCATATTAGGTGAGAGGTTTCAGCTTCATAAAGAATCCAAGAAATATTTTGTTTCTCATATTTTTATTCTATAAACTCATGGAACATGCCAGTCATTTCACTTTGAAAGTACATGTCCAGTGCTACATTTGGTTCGGATAATTTCTGTACATATTTAATGTTTATCAAAATATTGTATTTTAAACAGCCTTCTATAAATCTTCAAATTATTTTGCACATTAGATTACTATAATTAACACTTAATATATTGAATGAGCCTACTTAAAATATTTTGAGTTCTCATTGCAATAATAAATATATTAGTCATTCACCCATTTTTTTCTATACAATATTGGTTGAGCACCCTTAATTTGTCAGACACTATTACAATTTATGAGAATTTCACAGTGAGCCAAACAAATTGCTCCTGTACTTAGAATACTTAAATTCTAATATGGAAAGGAAACAAGTATTTGCCAAATGTTAATAAGTGACATTGAGAAAAATAAAACTTGGCAGGAGTAGGGAGCCGTCGACAGGGATTGATATGTTTAAATTGGATAGTCTTGGTAGATTTCACTGACAAGGAGGTATGAGCCCAGACCTAAAATAAATGAGAGGATGAGTTATGTGGCTTGCTTGGGGTAAGTACGTTCCATGGAGAGAAAACAGCAAAGGTGAAGACTCACAATTGAGAGGGTGCATGCATGCTTTAGAAACACTGACAAAGTCACTGTGGTAACTAGATAGAGGGAGAAAGTCTTTGGAGATGAGGCTTGAGTGTGGAGGGTTTTTGGTAAGTACTCTTACAAAATTTGAAAGTTTTTGGCTCCTCTTAATTATATGAATTGCCATAAAAATGGGAAGTAAAAATATTAAACAATGAGAAAGTATTTAGGATCAAATTAGAGATTAGCAGCTCAAAAACATAAGATATTTTGTATGTTATACGTAGCACTAAAAATGGCAGAAATATAGGTAAAATGTAACATTATTATGTGGCATTTGATATATTGGTAGTTCTAACTGGTGCAATCAGGCATCAAAGGAAGTGAAAACAGCCAGATTAAAATGGGATAAGAAACCTGATTTATTCACAGAGTATGTAATTGTGCATTTAGAAAATCTTGAAGGATCTTAATAAAAAGTCACTAGAAATGAGTGAATTTAACAAGGTTGGAAAATACAAAATTATAAAAAATCATTATTTCTATATACTGTTAGCAATAAAAAATTGGCAAATAAAATGTTAAGCAATAATATTAAGAAGCCAGCTCTCTCCAAATCTGTGTACAGGCTCAGCACACTACCAATAGCATTTTATAATTAGAAATTGACCATGTCATTCTAAAATTTATATGTAAAAAGTACCTTTCACAAAAGAATTAATTTTGAGCATTCATAATGTCTTATTTGAAGACATACTGGGTAAAGGTATAGCAACCAAGGCAGGGTGGCATTGACATTATCATAAGGGGAATCATATAGGTCTATGGAACAGATTAGAACATAAGTAGATTTCTGAAACTTATTCTCCATTTTAAGGGGACACCATTTAGTCTTTCACCATTAAGCATAATGAAAACTAGAGCTATCATTATGAGATTCAGAAATTTTATTTACATTGCTAGTTTGCCTAATTTTTCAGGTGAATAGGTGTTAAATTAATCAACTGTTTTTACCTACTAATATGGGCATCTAATTTCTCCCCTTTACTTTTTAATATGGTGAATTACACTGAATTTTTTATAATAAACCAAAACTTGCTTTATTTGAATAAACCCCACTTGGACATGAAGCATTATTCATCTTATATATGCCTGGATTTGGTTTGCTAATATATTTCCTTTTGAGGTTAAGCTCATGAATGTCATAGTTCCATAGTTTTTCTCTCTTGTGATGATTTTTTCCGTTCATAGAAATATTAGTCTTATAAATTGGGAAATACTCTTTCTCTATTTTCTGAGGGTTTATATAGAATTACTATAAATTTTCCTTAAATAGTTTATGGAATTTTATTGGTGAAGCCATCTGTGTCTGCAGTTTTCTCTGTGGAAAATTGTTAAGTTGTAAATTCAATTTATTTAATAGATAAAAAATTACTTAGATTTTCTATTTCTTCTTACACTTTATTGGCAAAATATTCGTATTTCAAATAATTTGCCTATTTTATCCTGGCCAGGGGTCAGAAAAATTTCTCTAAAGGGCCAGATAGTAAATGTTTTAAGCTTGGTAGGCCAAGAGTCAACATCAAGATTATTAACTAAATATTTATGTAATAAAAAATAAATTTCATAAATAGTGATAATAGAGTATATTTTTATGTATTACAGATCTACTACACTGGGTAATACAGGTCAATGAATAAGAATAATTAGTTTCTTCTTTTGAGGGATTATATTTCAATTACTTGGAATTGAACTTAAAACACTGTAGAGTTACAACTGCTTCACTGAAATCTGTAGTATGCAGAAGAGTAGTGTGATACAATGACATAAAAAGTCTGTATAGCAGCCACTCAACTCTGCCATTGTAGAATGAAAGTTATCAAAGTTGTCATTTCTATATATAAAAATGATATGTGTGGCTATGTTACAATGAAACTTTATTCATGGGCACTGATGTGAATTTTATGTAATTTCCACATCTCAAATATTATTCTTCTATTGATTGTAGTCCATGAGCTAATATACAAAATAGGCAGTGGGAAGAACTGGACCATGGAATGTGGTTTGCTGACCCTTGTTCTAGGTGGTCAAAATTATTGATATACTTGTGTTGTTAACATTGCCTTATAAATGTTTTAGCATCTGTAGTTTCTCTGGTGATGATGTGTCTTTCTTTCTTAATATTAACAATGAACATGCTGTTTTCAAAAGAATCATCTGAATGAATGTGAAATAGACAAATTTTAGAAATTTTAATTTATCAAATTTTTCATATATATTTTAAAGCAAAATAAATTTGATTTTTTAATTTAAGTGTTTTGGTTTTGGACAAATGTTTTCAATAAATTGAGTAATAAATAAAACACACATTTTAGTAGTTATTTATTTCCATGTACAGAACCCTATAAAAATTAAAGAACATTGAATAGGAAAATACCACAACAATCCAAGTGGCATGAGATCATGTGCTATGGCAGTAGAGGATTGAATGTAGAGATAAAAACAGATTTCAGGATTCTTTTAGAGTATACCAGGTATAAAAGGGGTCTCTAATATGCAAAGTTAATAAGAGCATGGGGAGTTTATGACCAAAAATTTAAAAAGGCATATACAATCTTGAACTGAAATTAAATTAGCAACTAAACTACAAATTCGTGAGAAGAAGAATTAATTTTATATAGAAAATAAAAGGGAAGCACTCCATAAAAATCTTTGTATGCCCTGTGATAAAGGAATTAACTTGATATTTTAAATCAAGCTCTTGCATATAAAACCACATTGACAGCATTACTTAAGCTAATCATGTTCATTAATCTTTTAAGTTTGGTGGTTTATTATAACTTCATAACATTTTAAATATTTAAAAATCTATGATAATATGTATTTCAGAAAAAACATTTTAATATTATATTTTCATAAAAATAATGTTTCCCATTGGAAATAAAAGTTCTTAATTATTTTATTCTAAATTTATTAAAGCTCAATTATTTCCACATAAGTGCAAAACATATTATTAATCGAATATTTCTTAATTTTCATAAAATTCCTGTTTTGAGTCCATAACCTTCAAATTGTAGTGCATATACTTTGAGATTAAATATTTTTTCCAGACATTAGATATGTCAGAGACAGTTTTCCATTTTAGAAATTAGGCAAGTGAAACACTCAGTGTCTGATGATTAAACCAGGATATTACCGCACAATTAAATGCTCTGGATTTTTAAGAATGTACTATAGTCACTCATTGTTTTCTTTCACTTTGTTTTGTCACATTTTCATTTGATCTTAAAAGTAAATTTCATGAAGGTAATTCTTTCTAGTCTGATTTAACGTACTGTACACAGTCTAGGGATTATATATCTACATTTTCAATTATTTATAGAAGCTCTTAACCTTCATTTCCAATTTGTTCTCCGTATTCTGTTTCTCAAAAAATACAGGCTGATATTCTTTGTTTTTTTCTGTGATTTAAAAACTTAAAAGTTTCTAAAACTATAACATACAATTTTTTGAAGTTTGTCATAATTGTATTTGGATAGAAAACCTGACCTGAATGAGGCTATTTAAGTTTATATTTATCCCAATTAGTGTGAATACTCACATATTTTATTTAAGTCATATGATTACAGAGTGTTGAGTCAGAATTTGTCAGAGTTGTTTAGTAATAACCAATTCATGTACTCTAATAGTTTTCTAAAATCTGGAAAAAAATATTAAATCCAAAACATATCTCTTCTCTGGTGGTTTGAACAATGAATTTACGGACTCCTACAATCAAAGAGATCCACAATCCGTATACAGCACACAGATTTTGATTCCTTGCCGATCGTTTCTCTATCAGAATGACCTGGGTTTTATTTGGCTTCTTCCCGATCTCTTAAAATAGCTCACTCATGTCCAAAAACTTGTACCCCCACCAATTACTTATTTTAATATTTTATTCTTCCGAATTTAGTACCTTGTGCCAAATTACTAATAATACTCCAAGGTATCCAATATCTGCAAACAAGTTTTTTTCAGAGAAACTTATTCAGTGGCATACCATTGTTTACTTATCATCAAATTCTCCCGATGTCCATTATACTGTCATTTTAATGGTGACATCCTCCTATTATATCTGCCTTTGCTGAATTCTTCATTCATTCATTAATCCATTCATTCATTCATTTATTCATTCATAAGATCATCTGAGAAAATAAGCTATGATCTGAAGGAAGAGTGAGAATTAGGATGAAGGTAAACTTTTGTGCAACTTAGCTTTTCAGGGAAATCAAGCATTATCTGCAGAGTTCCTAAGAAAATAATAGTTTTGGTAGCTTGATTAACAGTGAAAGAACGATAATGTGATTAAAACATATGGACTAAGGATGAGCATAGGAAAAATATAAAGTTAGAGAAATAGGCAGGGACTAAATATTTCAAGTTCTTGTGAAACGTTAAAAATTGTAATTTTTATTCCAAGGGAAATAGGTTACAATGAAAATTTTTAAGATGATAAAGAATATAGTCAAATTTACATTGCAATAAAGAATATGGCTGCTATATGAAGACTTGATCAGAGAGGTACAACAATGGATGTAACCAGTTTAAAGGCTATTGCTCTAATTTAGGTAAAAACTAATGATAGTTTAGACAAGAACATGATATGAATCAGGATAATAGTTATATATATGTACACACATATATAAGTGTGTATATATGTATATATACATATTTATTTAAGTAAAAAGATTTGTAATAGGTTTCTCTTTTTTTAAGTTGATATGTTCTGGTTTTATTTCTTCATAGGAATGTTGAGGAAATTCAACAGTTTGAGAAATAAATTTGTTTATATTAATGATGCCAAAGGAAAATTGCACTAACGAAGTTAAACCAGAAAGGAAGCCTTTATTTAAGACTATTGCAATGGGGAAGAGAGATTGAATGGAAAAACCACTGAAAACAAAAGTCAGGAGAGGTTTTAAGTGCTGCGATGAGCCAATGGAAAAATACTCAAGGATTTTACACAAGAAGTTGGTCAATGTGTTAGGCCATTTGTTTGTGAATTGGCCTTCTTAAACTCCTACAGATACTGGGAAACGGGGCCACTATCTTTCTTGATGATTAGATCTCAAAGGATGTCTTAGAATGTCCTAGAGAAAGACATTCCTGGCTTGTAAAATTGTCAAAAGTGTGGAAGAATATTTACACCTCAAAGGGACAGAGAAAGAATATGCAATTGCAACTTTTATAAAATAAGTACTCTAAGAAAATGGGACTCAGGTGCCTACAGTTAGAAGTAAACTTTTCTAACATTTAGTCAAGCTGATGGGAACATTAAGGCCTTCTCCAATGGGTAGTAAGCAAATTCAGGTGAAATAATCTGTAGGTCCTGAAGAAGTCCAAAGCTGATTGTGTTCTGAATTCTGTAAAGCAAGCTTATAGAAAAGATTTGTGATCAAAAAGGTAAATACTGGTTTGAAGGTATAAAAGTCACCACTGTGGACAGGTTTGAACATAAATAAGGTAGTAGAGGAAAACTTATTGAAAATAAGACATAGGTAAACTGAGGAGTAAGTAGTCTAATGGATTTGTGAATTATAGAGATGGCAGGTAGCAAATAAACATAAAATCTAGGTTACCAGGACTTAATTAAATGAACAAGAGTGCCTGGAATATTACATGATGTCAGAAGGAAAAGGGAGAGAATGTTCTAAAAAATGGTAGTAAGCCTCAGAACAAAAGCTCTTTATAGGGGAACAGAGTCTGGCAACAGCTGAGTAGCCTGTTATTTCTGAAGTATATGGTGAAAGGAACCAATAAAGAATCAGCACTTCAAGGTCATAAGGGAGAGAGTGTCCTCAGCCAAACCTTCCGCTTTGCTTAAAGGAAGAAGGTGGAAGTGAAAAGAGACTGAGTGTTTAGAATACTTGCTAAATATCAGAGAGAGCTCCAGAAGGTAAGTGTAAATTGTTCAGAAATAGGGAAATTGAATACTGGGTCAGTGACAAGAAAGTAAATAGAATTAGGAAGATAAAGGTGCAAGTGGATTGAAGGTGAAGAATATTGGGTCCTATAACATGGAGGTTGAGAGCCATGGGGAATTCAGCAATCTTGGGAGTAAGATGAACAATGAAAATCTTGGAGGGAGAGATGAGCAATGAACCTACATGATAGAAGTCTAAGCTCACTCACTCAGGAGGAGTTGTGGACTTAGAGGTTACAGTATACCATTGCCTTGGGGTACTATGGGTAAAACCTTGCAGCTGTAGTTTGGGTCGTGTGTCCATCCATAAGTATTAGCTTTCTCAGATTTAGACCATGTCTATGATTGGTTTACAGTTTTTCTTTAAAGCTTTTTCATGTGAGAGAAATAGAATGTAGCCAATTTTCATGTTTCTTAAATGTGAATGATTGGGATATCCTTTTAAAGGGACAAGAGCATTATTGTAGGCCTCCCATGTTAATTCAAAATAAATTCATTACAATGTGGTTTAAGTTTGTATACACATAACAGAGCTATTTATTGAAATGTTAAATTTTATTATCCCTATACTTTTTCCTTTTTGGATTCTGCATTATCTTCTTTTCCTTTTGGATGTTTGGTAAGACTAAGAACATAAGGTCCTTATAGGAGGTCCTCTTAATTGCTTAACTATTTAAGACATAGGGTCATGAATAAAATTTAAGGGATATGAAAATTATGAGGTAATTTTAGAGTTTTTAATAATTAAGATGCTTATGGAAAACCCAAGTTTAAGATGTCTATTAGGCAACTGGATATATGGGTCTGGAGTTCATGAAATAGATCTGGGATAAACATATATATTTAGAATTTATCATCATTTAAATAATAAAAGAGGATATAGATATCACCCAAGGAAATAAAGTAACAAGAGGAAAAACAGGTTGTTACCAGAGGACAACAAGCACTGAGAGTGTTTAAAGAGAAAAAGAAACATATTAATTAAATTTAGAAGTGGCTAGAGAAGTAGCAGGAAATCCAGAATGGTGTTACTGGAATAAATTAAAGGGAAAATATCAAGACACAATTAAAAGTAGAAAGCTAAAGTGTTATCTGGTTTCAAAACAGAAAAATGATAATGTCATTTTTACTTTTGCTATAGTAGTTGACTATTTCAATGAAGAAGTGGTTGGGTAATGAAACAAAGGAAAGAAAGAGTGAAGTAGTTTAGGAATTCATTAGAAGTATGGAAGGCAAAACCTCAAGTAAAAAAGCAAATTTCTGAAAGAATGTAGAGATATAGGCTGGTACCTAGAATAAGGTACAGAATATAGAAATTAACTATTTTTCAGAGAATGTGCAAGAAAACATGTGTTTAAATGTTAAAGAGCCAATAGTAACAGATGCCAGATAATAAAAGACTTGGAATACTTTGTCAGGAGATCTTTAGTAAAGTGGTAGCTGACTTACATGGTAGATTTTATCCAGAACATAAGTGGAGAAAGACAAATGTGACTTATTAGATATGAAAAAAGGATGTGTGGACAGATGGATGGAATTTTGGGCATAAAAGGCAATCAGTTTCTACATGGGCACAGAGGAATGATTATGTTTGATAGATTCTATCTTCTCAGTAAATCAGAGATAATCTATTTAGAGTGAGGAAAGGTGGTAGGTGTAGGGAGTGGAGTAAGTGAAGAAGGTTTGAAAGAACCCTGGAAAATAATGATAGATTAAACTTATTGGGAAAACAGAACAATTGTATGGTAACACTAAAAGACCATGGAGGCCGAACCTCAAATTTTCTGGTGTTAAAAATCCGTTGTATACACAATGAAATTTTTCTTTGGTCAGGTTCAGTTGCCTTGGTGAAGGGGTGAAAATAGCATGTAGTTTAGTTACCCTGGACTGGTGGTTTTACATACTGCAGTTGTGAGTATACATAGAGGCTTAGTTGAATTGATCTACAAGAAGAATAGCTTACATGGGAAAATAACAATACATGATAGGGTCTAATAGATTGAGAGAAAAAGGTGAAGTTAGAAACCAGATGTTGAATAGGTTAAAGAACACCTGCACAGTGAATAATTGAGGGAAAGAATGGAAAGAACAGCATTCTTTTCAGATATTAATTTTAATTTTAAGATTTCCATACAAAACATTTACTCAAAAATATGTACTGAGCATTTTCTGTATATAATAAATTGTCCTTAGCATTACAGAAGTGAAGATGGGGCAAGTTTTTTGCTATTATGAAGGTTAAATTCTAGCCAGGTGGATAATAACAAAATAAAGAATAATTTGGTTTCATAGTTTCTATTACAGAGGTGACTGAGAATAAAAAACAAACAAAAAAACAGCAAAAAACTAAAAAACAACATTTTTGAGCTCCCTCAACCAGAAACGCTATTTACAATGCCACATAGATAGTGTCATGTCATTCTTGTACTGTCCAATTGGGAAAGGCAGTCATCACCTTATAACACAGGAAGGTACTTTTATAGTTGAACAGAATGAGAATTAATTCCTACCATCACCACAGCATTGGCAGGACACAATATCCTGACCCTGGGCATAGAACTAAGATCAGAAAGCTGTAGGGTCACAAAGATACAAAGAAAAGCCACTCTAAAGCTAGCTGGTAGTATATGGCCAACTATTTTACAGACATGTTGCAGGTATTCAAACTGCTTGCAATTTGATTGATTTAAACTGTATTTGTGGTGAGTTTTGAGGGTGTTTATTAATAATGACAGAGAATATGGATATTATAGAAGGGATGGATATGCCAGTATATATTTACACGTGAAAAAAAAATCAAGGAATGAACAAAAGAGAAGGAACAGAACTTTCAAAATATATTAACATAAACAGAGTAAAGAAATTTTCCTTTACTACCAAAAATTAAGAATTTTTGCTAATTTTTATGAATAAAATAATTATAAATTATTTTAGAAAACAAAGAATTTGGACTTGTAAGTTGTGTCTTTTACTAGTTTTGTTTCTTTTATCAATATTGCGATATAGATCTAAGTTCATTGTATGTGTTAGTTATTCTCAACTCTATTGACTCCACACATCTCTAATTCTTTTTTATATTATTTTTAATAAATATCTAAAACACGTCAGTCTTCTGGCTTTTAGTATCCACATTGTGTATTTTTGTTACTCTGGCTGTTTAACAAATTTTCCCAAAACTTAGTAGTATATTACAAACATTTATTATACCCTTAGATTTTTGTAAGTCAGGAATTTGGACAGAGTGTAGTGGGATTGCCTTGTCTCTACTCCACAATGTGCTGGGGCACAGACGCAAGAGTTGATACCTGGAGGCTGGAGTCATCTGATGGCTTGTGCACTCATATGTCTAGTGGGTGTTGCTGGCTCTTGGCTAGAGGCCCCATTCCTCTGTTTATGCATTCTCTTTGTGAGTGCCAGTTTGGGCTTTCTCACAGCATAGTAGGTGATTTCCAGTGGGAAATGTGTTGGGAGAGAAAGAGAGAGCAAGAAGAAGAGGAAAGAGAGAAGAAAGCCATATCACTTTTTATAACCTAGACTAGGAAGTAATACAACATCATTTCTACATATTTCTTAAGACACGAAGTTCTGTCCAGATTCAAAGGGAGGACATAAGGCAGATTCCAACTCATTTCTGGAAGATCATGATACTGAAAATATTTCTGTGGCCATTTTTGAATACGTGATCTGCTCGAATGGATAATTTAAGATTAGTCCTTAGAGTAATAATCCTTAGAGTAATAATCCTTAGAGTAATAATCCTTAGAGTCAGCACTCCTTAGAGAGAGTTGTTTTAAAAAGTTTATTTTACGTTTTGTCACTGGTTACTTTTGTTCAGTGTCCTGAGAGCACAGTGTGGAAATATATTAATTCTGTCCAATGGTACCGAATGTTTTATAGAGTAGAGTAGGTAATAGTGGAGTGGGCTATTTAAGAGAAACTTGGAATTTATCAGGTTAAAAAAATGAATTTGTTCCATCATACTCTGCACGTGTGCGAGAGAATACATGACCTGCTCAGAGCCAGGTTTAATCTAGAGGAAGATAAGTTTGCTAAGGTCACATGCAAGATCATTAAACTACCATTTGAAAGAACAATTCATTATCTGTTCTTGTTGTTGTTTATAACTTTAGTCCATAATGTTTGTGCAAATTATTTTTTAAAAAACTGTTTATTTGGAGAATGAAAAATAAAATTGGGACAGTAGTATTTACTTTAAAGAAAAGTAAATAAGTGGAGATTTTTTTCCAGGGAAATATAGACCATGGAATCTTTCATAAGCATGTAGGAATTTTATTTCCCTAAAGAGATAGTTATAACAAGCAAAATTTCCTTAGGACATCATGGTATCTACGTACTTAAGCACTGATAAAAATTCTCATGTGAAAAAGGAAAAAAAAAACAGTAACCATTTGAATATGAGTGAATGTTCCTCTAAAATATGTAAAAATATGAAAAAATATTGTTAATAACATAAAACAAAACATTTAATTGAAATTAAACACATATGCAGATACACGGTAAGCCTTCCTTCTGATTGTTTTTAAGTAAATTATTCACATTTAGTTTATTTTTCTTCTTGCTCACTTTCTCATCTCCCATTTATTGCTTACCTGGCTTGAAAGGTACTTATTTAAAGTTAATTA
This sequence comes from Homo sapiens, assembly GCF_000001405.40. Lineage (NCBI taxonomy): Eukaryota > Metazoa > Chordata > Mammalia > Primates > Hominidae > Homo > Homo sapiens. The sequence continues at coordinate 102,368,059 of NC_000006.12, forward strand.
TTGCAATAGAATGAGAGTCCACAAATTTGTGATAATTTTTGAAATCTCTGGCAAATTTAATACATTTTTAAAAATAAAATTTAATGATTTGTCTGTATATGATAAACATTTTAGTGTGCCTTTAACATCCAGGTACATTTTCTGAAAATAATAGAGCAGGGTACTAAGCATTGGGCTGTATCCACAGACTTTTAGCCCTAGGTTAAAAATCTCTTCTAACTCATACTACAAGTAAAAAATATGTTTTTTTCACCTTAAAAAATTCTAATATCATTATTCATCTCTAAAGGTAAATGATAGTATGTGGTATTTTCCAAATCGTTTGAATATGTAATAACAGTGTTTTGTGGGACATTCATGTTATCTAGACTCAAGTAAAAAAAATATATAATATATATATAAACTACATTTTTCCTTCAACTGTAATGTTTTATGATTTCAGCATTAATTTTATTAGAAAAAAATTTGAGTTAAAAAGACAATTGAAATCAAATTTAAACAAAATTTTTACAGTGATCATTGAGAGCGATCTAAATTTAATTCTTTTTCTAATATTGTTAGATTGATGTGATACATTGTAAAGAATAGAGAAAACATACGCATTTTCAAAATAAAGTAAACCTCATTTCAGAATTCCATAATGCAGAGATACAAATTATTAACATTTTTGTCAACTTTCATATACTTAATATTTCAGTGTAGTCTTTTATAAAATTGAAATTGTATTGTAAATATATTTTATATCTTGATTTTTTAAAACTATAATATCAATAGCATTCTTGTTTTTCTAAGAGATCATATTTTAGGTACATTTTATATACTGATTTTTTAAAACTATAATATCAATAGCATTTTGTTTTTCTAAAAATATCAAAAGCATTTTGTTTTCTAGTGTGTTATTTACTTTATAATATCCCATGATATAATTTTTTATAAACACTATTTTTTTTTACATTTTCTTAGGCAGAAAAATGAGAAATATAGGAAACACTGAGTATCATTTAGGTTAGTATTAAAATTTTCTCCACAGATCTCTGAAGTTAATTGAGGAATCTCTAAAGGTGATGGGAATTGGGAAGATCTGAAGAGGTGGGGTGTCAGGACTGTCATTAATACTTTTACCAGATCATAGTAGATTTCATATATTTTATGTTGGGTTTGGCATTTTATTTAAATGGACAATTCTAGGACACAGTTTAAAAAGATTAATGATTTACATATGTAGGTTCGTAGTAAAAGTTCATCATAATTTTGTTATTTTTCTTGCTATTTAATTTTCTGTATCAGTCATATCCATAATTTTATATACGATATAAATTGCTTAGTCATATCTGTATTTTACATATCAAATAATAAATTTTGTAAGCCTTAAAATATTATTGTCTATTACTTTAGGTATGTATGTGAACTTTTATCTTTTAAATATACTACTTGAATAGAAGCCTATTCTAACTATTCTACTTTCTAAAACAGTACTTTTTAGTTACAAATGACAAATACAATCAAATTTAACCATGAGGAAAATATTTAGCTGGCCTTAACAAAGACAAAAAAAATGTTAACTAAAGTTAAATTCTTTTAGTAAAAACAAAGCTTAATATGTAATCAGAGGTAGCACAAATGGCTCCGCTTGTTCACTATCATGACTATATTCTTTGTTGCTCTCATTCAGAAACATTGAGTCTAAAAAATAAGTAAAAAAGTCAACTCACCAAAAGCTGCAACGAAGGAACTGCCTTTGTTTCTCAATCTCTTCTCTCAGAACTTACAGCAGAGAGGAATAATGTAAGATGAGAGAGTTTTCCAATCGTCTACTCAATGCTTTGGGAGCCATAACAGGACACGGAGAAGCTTTGTAGCCAGACACTTGTGAAATCTAAAAGCAACGGAAAAGCTATGAGTTAGACTTACGTCAATAAATGAACTTACTTTCCACTGGGAAACAAAGTTGACATAATACAGCTGATAGCTGTTATTATGAAAACCCTAAACAATAACAAAGCCAACAAATAAAAACAAACAAACAAAAACCTTATTCAAGTTGAAGCTTAATGAGCTATGCCCCACAAGGCCATAGAAGATACCATTCCTATCTATTTCTCCAAACTAATCTCGGGCTCTTCTCCATCTTGCTTAATCTTTTTCTTCAACATTTAAAAAATTGTTTTTAGAAATTAATGTTTCATATTATTTTGAAACACCTAAAAATGTTGCAAGACTAGTACAAGAAGCTCCAATATATTATTTACCTATATTACACATTGTTTTCATTTTGTACTACTTGGTTTTCTTTCCATCTTTGGCTTTATTATCTCTATTCCTCTAAATATGTGTGTGCACACACATACACACACATTGTTTTTATTTTCTGAACCACTTTAAAAATGTTATAGGTATTGTGCATAGCTGACAACATCCCACTCATGCCATTCTAGAATGGAGACCTCTATAATAATTTATTTTCAAACAACCTACAAAAAAGAAAGTCAATTCCCTGTAGTTTTTTTCCATCTGTCCCCCCCGTCCTCTATTATACACTGAGGTCATGCTTCTTGGTTCATGTAAGAACAATCTTACAAAAACTTGTGCTGGAGACAAGGCTGTCAGTTTAAATCCCAAATGGGCCCACATCACGGCTCTGTTTTGCATATTATTTTGATTGATTGATTAATGGGTCTGAAGTGAAAGTAAAAACTATAAGAATTAGAGATCATAGGTAATGCAATAGTATTAACACATTTGGATTATGGTTTAGCGTGACTGAAACTGTGGTAAATCCTGCTTTAGGACAAATCTTAGTTGGAAGTACAATTTAGTTAGATAATTTGTATGGTCCGGAAGGAGCCATGATAGGCCTGCTAATTTTGGCTGGAATATCTTGTGATGTAGTATCAAGTAACATTATTCATGAGTATATATCTTTAAAAATGTTGTCAATAAAACTATCTCCTTTTTATTGCTGCGCTTCAGATCTTCAACCTTTGAGACTTCAAGAGTTGGGTATCCTTAGAAGCCAGGCATGTCATTATCCGAAATGGCTGATTTTTTTTGGATTCATATAGAGTTCTCATGTATGGAATGAAAAACAGAATCCATGATGCAGTACGTCCTTGGCAGACAGAATACCAATTTTTTTTTTATATTTCAACTAACATGTTTGCAGTCACTTGGAAGATAAGATCCAGTTCTACAATTTTTGAATGAATTCTAGATCCTACAGCATAAGTATGTAATGCTCATCCCATTTTAGGTAACCTACCAATAAAAATTTCCAGAAATAATGTCAGTACTATAAATAATCATTTTACAATATATTACTGAAACAAAAGGATGAAACAAATGAAAGAGATAAGGGAAGATTTAAACCAGTTTGCTACTCATACAGGATATACAGACACTGATAAAAATGAGGTTGGTCAACTGCTTTGACTGATTAACCTGGAATGATACCTCAGAGTATTGTTGGAAATGCGGTTAGGAAAATAATATGAGACATTGAGGGAACTAGGAACATCTATTATAAATACAGTAAGAACTTGGAAAATATAATGCACTGAAAGCTAAGGTAATGATAAATTCCATGAAGGAGACTGTGATGGATTCCTCAGGCAATTAGGTAGGGAAAAAAGTAAGGAATTGAAAGAGGAAAGACTGGAGAATTTGAAATAAACTAGTTTTGTTTTCCAGATAGATTATCAGTAAGAAAAAAAGTATATAGCAGTAGCTAGTATAGGCAATGGTGTTAGCTAAGTTCCTTCCTACCTCTCTCTTTTAAAAAATTGTATACGTTTTTTCCAATAGTTGAATGGAAAGGGAGAAATACTTTAAAGAGAGAACAAAACCTAGCATCACTGAGAGAGACAAAGAGGTCATTGGCAAGCAAATTTCTCCTTCTAGTTTTACCATTAAAAAATAAAAAGACTTGAGAATAATCAACAGAACTATTCAATGAGCACTCTGTTGGTGTCATATGTAAATAATACTATAGTCCTAGAAAACTGATTTATAGTTGTTAAAATATTTTAAGGAGAGATGAATAACATATCATTGTGACCCATTTCAATACTGAACTGATTTTCAGTATGTGTGACAACAGATTTTCGGCAATAGCTTGTGACAGTATATGCTACATTTTTAACAGTCAACATTGACCAGGGTCCACGCAAATTAATGTTTTCATACAATCAAATTTATTTTATGGGAACATGGATCTTTTAGATAAATAAGAATAATGCATAAAGAGGAGATCCAGATTAAGGAAATAGGACAGCAAACATTTATCAATATATGAAAAAACAAATGCATACTTTACCCCTCCCCGAAAAAAATCACATTTAAAAGTTTAGAAACAAAATTTCCAAGAAGTCAAATTTTAAATAGGATATTTAAAATATGTTATATATGGTTGTAATATATACTTAAATATAAGCAAACTATCCCAATAAAATTTAAATCCCTTTGGTTTTATTATATCTACAATGGAGTTAAATTATTAGCTTTTCTTCTTTTTCCTCTCTGTAATATAAATTGTATAATTCAGATTTTATATCCATGTCTATTTTCTTTACTTTTAGTTTAATTCTTTCTTAATTCTACCAAAATAATGGAACACTAAAACCTATGGCTTTTTCTATTGTGAGTGGATTACGCTTTCTTACACAGAAAAATGAATAAATAAAATGGCTGAATCAATTTCAAGTTGGGTTTTCATTTAATCTTCTGTGTACTTAAGACATAAAATACAGTTCACTTAAAGCCTTCTTTGTTGTTTCACCTCATTTATTTGGCATAACAGCAATAAATGTTCTATTTCATGTGTTTTGCAATAGGGAAATAGCTCTCGGATTTATAAGAAAACTGGAGGGGTTTATTATATAAGAGTTGTTTAATGTGACACTGATACATGTACTAAAGGTGGTATTATTTAATATATTAGATTTAGATAATATCAGAATACCATTTCCTACCAGCAGGAAAGCTTACAATAGAGGCTTCAAGTAGCATTTTATATATATATATTTATACATAAATATATATATTTATACATAAATATATATTTATACATAAATATATATATTTATACATACATATTTTTATATATTTATATATTTTTATTTTATTGTATTGTATTTTATTATATTTATATATATATTTATATATATTTATATAAATATATATATTTGTGATATGATTTTACAACTCAATTCTTTATATAATTTTTCCAGGGGTTTTAATACTTAATTATCAATGTATTATGGTTATATATATTTATACAAATATTACAGGGATAATAGCAATAAATCATTTTTGAGATTATATACCATAATAGGAATAAAGCATTTATTACCATCTGGTATATACTTAGGCTCCGCTTTTATGTATTTCCTTCGGGTTTTATAATTTTCAAAGGTTTATGCATTTTATTTTATATGAGATCTCAGGAGATCTTATAGTTTAAAGTGTGACACTTCCTCCCTCGCTCTTTCTCTCTCTCTCAGCACCATGTAAGATGTGCCTTGCTTCCGCTTTACCTTCCCCCATGATTGTAACTTTTCTGAGGCCTCTCCAGCCATGCTGGAGTCAATTAAGCATTTTTTCATCATAAATTACCTGGTCTCAGGCAGTATCTTTATAGCAGTGTCAAAACAGACTAATAGAATAACCTATCTAAGGTAGCATTTGTCAGGATTTTCTACTGTACAGTAACTCTCCCCTCTCCTCCTCTACCTTTTATACTTCCTTCTGTGGAAGGAAGTCACAATGTGCAGCCCACTGTTAAGGAGAGAGTTATTGTGCTTCAACTCATAGAGGCATAATGTCTATATAAATCATTTGGAATTATTCTGAATAGGTGGTATTAATTAATTTATGCAACCTTTTATTTATATTAGTATGAGCTCATGCATATGCATGTTATACATTAAATTATACACTAAGACTCAACACTTCTTTACCAATTTTATTCAAAATTCTCATGTTTGGGCAATTGGAAGCTTTTACATTGGCACATGTGTCCATTTGACATACTCTCATCATTATGTTTTTGTTTTGTTTGAGCATTTTCTTACTTTCTGAAACAAGGCGATCCAAGCTCATCTTGTATATTTCCTGCCCCAGTCTTAGAATCACCATTTATCAAAGCATCTCTAGTTTCTTTTATTAGGGAATGGTAATAGAAATTAAAATCCACGAGCTAGGCGCGCTCCTTGTTATTGCATTTAGGACATCTCAACTGGCAGAAAAGAAATGCACGTGTATATGCTAGCCAGTATCTATACATAAATATCTACAGGAATACTTCATTTATGGGTATACTTCCCTTTATTACACTTAGCAGAGATTGTGATTTTTTACACATTGAAGGCTGTGGCAACCCAGCAAGTCTATTGGCAGCATTTTTTCCAACAGCATGCTCTAATTTTGTATATCTGTGTCACATTTTGGTAATTCTCAAAATACTGCAAACTTTATTGTTATTATATTTGTTCTAGTAATCTGTGATAACTGATTTTTGATGTTTTCATTGTAATTCTTTTGGGGAACCATGAGCCATGCTCATATGAAATGACGAACTTAATTGATAAATGTGTGTGTTCTGACTGCTCCACTGATGGACTTTCCCCCAATCTTTCTCCTTCTACTCCAGCTTCCTTAGGCCCTGACACACAGCAATTTTGAAGTTAGGTCAACCAATAGCCCTAAAATGGCTTCTAAGTGTTCAAGTGAATGAAAGAGTTTCAGATATCTCATTTTAAATCAAAAGCTATAAATAATTCAGTTTAGTGAGGAAGGCATATGGAAAGCCTATATTGGAAAAAAAAAAAAATAAGCCTCTTGTGCCGAACAGCCAAATTGTGAATGCAAAGGAAAAGTTATTGAGGAAATTAAAAGTGCCACTATAATTCAACATGGAAGATAAGAAAGTGAGACAGATTTAGTGCTAATATGGAGAAAGTTTGAGTGGTCTGGATAGCAGATAAAACCAGCTACAACATTCCCTTAGCCAAAGCCAAATACAGAACAAGGCTCTAATTCTCTTCAATTCTATAAAGGCTGAGAGAGATGTGGAAGCTCCAGAAAAAAAAGATGGAAGATAGCAGAGATTAGTTAATGAGGGTTAAGAACAAAGGCCATCTTTGTAATATAAAAGTAAAAGGGAAAGAAGTAAGTGCTGATGAAGTTGCACCAAGTTATCCAGATACAGGGAAGATCATTGATGAAGGTGGCTACAATGAACAATGTATTTTTAATGTAGATGAAATGGCCATATATTGGAAGAAGATGCCATTAAGGACTTTCATAGCTAGAGAGGATAAGTCAATGCCTAGCTTCAAAGCTTCAAAGGGTAGGCTGACCCTCTTGCTAAGGGCTAATGCTGGTAGTGACTTTAAGTTAAAGCCAATACTCATTTACCATTTCCAAAATCCTACTGCCCTTAACAATTATGCTTTGCCGGTGCTCCTTAAATAAAACAACAAAGCATGAATGATAGCACATCTGTTTAGATATTGTTTATTTCATATTTTAAGCCCACTGTTTGGAAGAAATAATGTCTTTTAAAATATTACTGCTTGTTGACAACACACTTGGTCACACAAGACCTCTGAAGAGATTAGTGTTATTTTCTTGCCTGCTAAAATAACACTATGAAGAGATTAGTGTTATTTTCTTGCCTGCTAAAGAAAAATCCATTCTGTAGCCAGTCCATGGGTCAAAGAGTAATTTTGACTTTCAAGTCTTATTATTTAATAAATAAGTTTTGTAAGGCTATAGCTGCCATAGACTATTATTCCTCTTCTTGACTAGGGCAAAGTAAATTGAAAACCATCTGGAAAAGATTCACTATTCTAGATGTTATTAAGACCAGTTATGGTTCATGGGAGGAGATCAAGATATCAACATTAACAGGAGTTTGGAAGACATTGGTTCCAGTACTCATGGATAATTTTGAGGGGCTCTAGACTTCAGTAGAAGAAGTAATGACAGATATGATAGAAATAGCAAGAGAACCAGAATTAGAAGTAGAGCCTGAAGATGTGACTGGATTGCTACAATCTCATGGTAAAGTTCAAGTGAATGAGGAGTTGCTTCTTGTGTATGAACCAAGAAAGTAATTACTTGAGAAGGAAACTACTCTTGGTGAAGATGCTGTGAACATTGTTGAAATGACAACAAAGGATTTAGAATATTACATACACTTAGTTGGTAAAGCAGCAGCAGTATTAGAGAAGATTGACTCCAATTTTGAAAGTTCTACTGTGGCTACAATGGTACAAAACAGTATTGCATGCTGCAGAGAGAACTTACATGAAAGGAAGAGTCAATTGATATGATAAACTTCATTGTTCTCTTATTTTAAGAAATTGCCACAGCCATCCCAGCCTTCAGCAACACCCTCCTGATCAGTCAGCAGCCATCAACACAGAGGCAAGTACCTGCACAAGACAAAAGTTTAAAACTTGCTGAAAGCTCAGATGATCACAGCATTTTGTAGCAATAAACTGACTGATTTTGTTTTGCCTTTTCTCTTGTTTTCTAAACAATCTTGCTTTGTTGCACAGGCTGGAATGCAGTGGCATGGATACAGTTCACTACAGCCTTGAGCTCCTCTGAGCTCAAGCAATCCTCCCAATTCAGCCTCCCAAGCAGCTGGGACTGCAGGCACACACCAGCATGCTGGACTAATTTGTTATTTTATATTTTTATAGAGACATGGTCTTCCAATATTGCCCAGGCTGGTCTTGAACTCCTGGGGTCAAGCAATACTCCCTCCTCAGCTTTCGAAAATACTAAAGTTATAGTCATGAGCCACTGCATAATTAAGGTATATACACTATTCTATACACGATTCTTTCAGACATGATTTTATTGCATACTCAATAGATAACAGAATCATGTAAATGTAACTTTTTCTTTTTTTTTTTTTTTTTCAAAATTTCAACTTTTATTTTAGATGCAGGGGGCAAATGTGGAGGTTTGTTACCTGGGCAAATTATGTGATACTAAGGTTTGGGGTATGAATCCCATCACACAGGTAGTGAGTTTTGTACCCAATATCTAGTTTTTCAACCCATGCCTCCTTCCCTTCCTCCCCTCTCTAGTAGTCCACAGTGTCTATTGTTCTCATGTTTATGTCCGTGTGTGCTCAATGTTTAGCTCTGACTTACAAGTGGTATTTTTTTTTGTTCCTGCATTAATTTCCTTAGGATTATGGCCTCCAGCTACATCCATGTTGCTGCATAGGACATGATTTCATTCTTTTTAATGTCTGCGTAGTATTACATGGTGTATATGTACCATAGTTTCTTTACCCAGTCCACCACTGAAGGGCCACCTAGGTTGATTGTGTCTTTACTATTGTGAATAGTGCACTTTAGTTTTTAAAGAAATTGCCAAAATATATTCCAAAATGTCTGTATTATTTTGCACTCCTGTTGCTCTGGTATCCTCACAGCAACTGATATTGTGAAGTTTTTGAATTTCAGCAGTTCTAATAGGTGTGAAGAGGTAGTTCATTGTTTTAATCTGTGTTTCCTAATGACCAGTAAATGATTTTGAGCATTTTTTTCATAAACTTCTTTGCATTCTGTATGTCTTTGGTGAGGTGTTTGTTTAAATATTTTGCCCATTTTAAAATTAAGTTTATTATTTTAAGTTAAGTTTTAAGAGTTCTTGGTATGTTTTTGGCACACATCTTTTTCAGATATTTGTTTTGAAAATATCTCATTTTCTTTTTATTTCTTAACGGTTTCTTTTACATAATAGAATTTTTTAATTTTAAGAAATTCTGCCTTGTATATTTGTTCTTTCATGGATGAATTGTTCTTTTGGCATCACGTCTAAAAACTCAACATCAAACCCAAGTTTCTTCAGAAAATATTTTTCCTTTCTTTTCAAAAAAGTTTAATAAGGAAATTTAATAATAAAACCAGAGAGTTATGACAGTATAATTAAAACCTCTAGTGTCTATCAATCAGCTTTAACATTTATCAACATTTTGTCATTTTACCACTCCTGCTTCTTTTATTTATCCACTGTCATTCTTTTTTTTTTGGGAAAGGTGGTGCAGTGAATACATGCAAAGGCAAGGAACTGGAATAATTTAAAGCAAGTATCAGATATCATATTTATTCACTCATAAATAATTTAGTTTATGCTGGTTCCAACTGATAAAGCTCTTTTAAAAACAGCCATTTTTGTTTGAACATATTTTATCATAGCTAAAAAATTTAACATTAATTCTTTAATTTTTCTAATAACGAGTCTGTATACAATTGTCTTTGTTTTAAGAATGGCATTTTAAAATTGGCTTTTTGAAAATCAGAATTCAAAATAAAGTAATGAATGATATTTTTCTTGAGAAAAATGCCATTTGTTTGTCCAAAATAAATAAATAAATAAATAAACAAACATGTATTAGTTGCCCTGAAGAATTTCCCATATTCAGGATTTGGTGATTATAACCTTATGGTACCACTTATGAAAGTCAATTCTCAGGCTGGGCTTAGTGGCTTATGTTTGTAATCTCAGCATTTTGGGATGCAGAGGCAGGTGGATTGCCTGAGTCCAGGAGCTCAAAACCAGCCTGGGCAACATAGCAAGACCCTGACCCTATTTAAAACACAAAAAAATTAGTGGTGCATGGTGGTGGGTGCCTGTAGTCCCAGCTACTTGGGAAGCTGAGGTGGGAGAATCACCTGAGCCCATGAGATGAGGTTGCAGTGGGCCAAGATGGCACTGCTGCGCTTCTCCTGCCTGGGCAACCAGAGTGAGACCCTGTCTCAAAAAACAAAGAAAGAAACAAACAAAAAAATCTGTTATCAAATTTTCAACAAAGGTATTAGATCTTTATTGAAAGAAAAAGAACATACCTGAATCTATCTAATTCAACCTCTAGTTAGATCTGGTTATATATAGAGGTTGAATTAAATAGATTCAGATATGACTTTGTCTTTTTTTTTTTTAAGGAATAACACATAGTGCTATATGCTTACTGTTGCATCATACAAGAAGCAAATAATGCCCATTTATGTCCTTATAATAATAAAGCAGGATTAGATTTTCACAGCATTTTATTCTCTTTTTTGTTTCTATGTTTTAAAAATTTTATTTTGATTTCACATATAAGAGAAATCATTTGTTGTTCTGTCTTGTATATTTCACTTTACTTCATGTATGTTTTCACAAATTGATTGATTTTCTTCTTTTTAAGGCTAAATAATATTCCATTGAACATACACATTTTCTGTATGTATTCACCCTCTGACAGACATTTAGATTATTTTCATATGTGGCTATTGTAAATAATACCAATATGAATGTGGGAGTGCAGATATCTCTTGGAGATATTGATTTTATTTCCTTTGGATATATCCCCAGAAGGTATGTATTTTTGCTGGATTATAAGGTCGTTCTGATACATCTATTTTGTGTGATGTATAAGCTATGAGTTCTATGTCTAGGTAAGTTTCTTTTCTGAACACGGACTTTGCATTAATCACCATCTGTTGAAAATGTTTTTTTCTCCATTGAATTGCCTTTGCATCTCTGCCAAATATCAGGTAACTATATTTGTATTCTTCTATTTCTGAGTTTTTCTTTTGGATTTTATTCATCCATGTGTCTATTCTTTCACCATTCTATGCTATATTGATATACTATGGCTTTATAAGTATTGAAATCAGGTAATGTCAGTCTTCTAACTTTGTTCTTTTTCAGTACTATGTTGGCTATTCTAGACCTTTGCCTTTTTGTATGCACTTTAAATTCATATGTCAATATCTACAAAATAGCTAGCTGGGATTTGGATTTGGGATAATTACCCCCTTTAAACTACATCCTTTTTGTTGGAAGATTGCTGGTTTCTTAATATATGAAGAGTTATGAGAGGTAATCCTTTATATTGTCTTCCCACGTGATATAGTTTTATCTCCTTTATATTTTGCTCTTATTCTGGGACAACACTGTCAGCAGTTTCTATTAATGTCCATTTATAAGAATATAAGTCTCAATTTAAACTTTATGATCTCTATATAATTATGTAGAAAGTGTGCCATGAGGATAAGTAGTTAAGATATAGGTCTCAATCCATGCCCCACTTCATTGAAAATCAAAATAGAGAAATTATACCCTTTGAAATGGAATATAACTTGAGGAGACATGTGATTTAGAGCAACTAAAAATGTCCTCCTTCAATTTGGTTTAATCAGAACAGGCTATCTATGCTTCTTTGAATATTCCAATACAGAACAAATTATTGTAATTATGCTTGAAATGTTCATGAGCCAAACTAAGAAATATTAGCATAAAAAGAGCACGTTGAGAACACTACAAATAGGAATGTATGAAAAACTGTTTTGAAACATCAAGTCACATGAAGATGTTTTGCTTCTAACTTTAAACGTTTAGTTTGTTGTGTTGCCATAAAGGACACAGTTTTAAATATCAATAACAAAGTAAAGTCGAATAGATTATTTTTCTTAATTTGAATGTATTTTGATAGAATTAAATGACAAAATAAAGAGCTGTTAATTACCTGGACAGCTAACACTATCCCCTTAAAGAAAACATTTGTAACTCAAAACTTAACATACTTAAAAATAATTTCTTAATTCCCATCACAAGTTTAGTTAAGGAAAAAGAACTTAAGTATTGGAATCTCAAATGCCTGGATGTTAGATACTTCAGTTTTAACTATTTAATATCTAAACAATGTAGCTATTTTTTAATTTAAAAATGCCTGTTAATTACAATGATCAAAAGTAAGATTTATTGTCTTAGTAGTATTTACAGATTAATTTACTCTGTTATTCTTGAAACCATTTGCTCTTCTTTGTCTTTTTACTGTTATCTTTTTATTGCTTAGTTTCGTTTTTATTTCCTAGAAGTTGTAATAAATCTCCTCTAATAAAACAGTTGGCTAAAATTTTATGTTATTTCCAGTTACTCTTTGTTTTAGCAATTTAGAGGAAAATAACAATTCCAATGTTGCATATATTACTATGCTTAAAACATTTGACATTTTTGCACATAAAAACTGTGTTAGCATTAGCTTAAATATTAGAATCCAAATCATTTCAATTATGCCCTTAGGCTAATACTTAATATTTGCTCATGTATTTTAGACCTCTGCCATTTGCAAACTTCTATATACATCTCCCAGATGAACTTGAAGTTGTTTATTACATTCAGTTTTAATCCATTTTTTTCAGTTACATTTGAAAATCCTACAATGAAATTGGGAGCAAATATCACATTGGGATATTTTCAGGCTCAACACATGAAATATCCTTAGAAAAGCATTCAGAAACTGCTAAGAGATGATGACTATGCTATAAAAGTGACTATAAAATTAGTCATAGCAGAGATTATAAATCACTTGGTAATCATCCTAAAAGGAAAGAGAGGTCAGGTATTAAACTGCATCAGGGTTAAAAATTTCACCAATAAACATTTTCAATGATATGAAGTATTTAAATAGACTCCTACTACTGCAATAGCTGAATATTCAAGTTCATATAAAGTAAAAGTCCACTATAAATACTATGGACTGAATTCTGTCCCCGCAAAACTTTTACCTTGAAACTCTAACCCCCAGTGTGACTGTGTTTGGAGCTCAGGTCTTCAGAAGGTTATTAAGGTTAACTCAGTTGATAAGGGGTAGGACCCTAATAAAACAGAAAAGGTAACTTTATAAGAGAAGAAAAGAGAGTGCCCTCTCTATTCACACACAAAGAGTTCACACGAGTATACAATGAGAAAGTAGTCACCACCTACAAGCCAAGAGAACAAACCTCAGAATGAAATCTACTTGCTAGCACCTTGATCTGGTAGTTCCCAGCCTTCAGAACTGTAAGATGTAAATTTCTGTTGTTTAGGCCACACAGTGTACAGCATTTTGTTGTGGTAGTCCAAGCAGACTAACACAGTAAATTATACTAAAACTGAGTTATATTATAAAATTGAATACATTCACATAGAAACCCCGATTTCTGACCAGCATATATGTTCTCAGAATTTTTGCGCTATGCACTCTATGTTGCTCAGTGTGTTGCATGCACTTTAAAAAATATATCAAATAAATTGTTGTTGTTTTCATTTAAAATACAATGTTATCACAATTAAACTATATCCAATAGACACTCTGGATTCATGCATAAGGAAAGAAAATGAGAAATTTTTCTCATTATCAAGAAAAATGGCAATAGGATGAAGGAGAAATAAAGATATTTGTTGAGATTGAAGAATGAAGCTGAGAGGCATTCATTCCGGGAATCCAGAGTGAGTGGTTTGGAACTGAATGACATTAAGAAAGCATAATATGGTTCTGTTGAGCTTCATAAGTTTCTTTAGATTTCTTGTACTAAAGTTAAGTAGAATGAAACATCTCAAAACAGAGATGAAATCCAGAGTTATATTTTTACACTGTTTTAGTAGACAAGTAAAACGTATTTTGCTTCCAAATGAATATATAGGAGCTTCTAATTAGATGTTAAATAAAGACTGTAGTGCATCTACAAAACATTTGAAAATATAGTGTTCAGGAAATGTAAATAATAACAATCATACCTAAGGAATCATGAAGAGATGCAAATTGATCATAAGGAGACCAAATTCTACAATATCTAGTCTAGAAAATAGGGGTTAATAATTTTCCCAAGCCAAATTTGATGAACAGTAGACATGATTTAGATGTATTACTCTTCTTGTTGGCTTCAGACCCATTAATAAATTAAATTGCTATTGGTTATATTATGGACATGTTCTGAATAGACCTATTTTTACACACATTTAATGAGATGTAATTCACATGACATATAGTGACATATTTAATATGAACTATTCAATGCTGTGGATTTTTAAAATATATTCATAAAGCAGTGCAACCATTACCATAATCTAATTTTAGAGTATTTGTATTGCCCTCCAAAAAATCCCAGAGTCACTTCTGCTTTCAGATTGCATGTAAAGTGTTTGGAAGTTGTCAGTCTTATTATTTATTATTATTATTATTATTATTATTATTATTATTATTTTAGATGGAGTCTTGCTCTGTCACCCAGGCAGTAGGGCAGTGGTGGCATGATCTTGGCTCACTGCAACCTCTGCCTCCTCGGTTCAAGCGATTTTCCAGCCTCAGCTTCCGGATTGGCTGGGATTACAGGTGCATACCACCATGCCCAGCTAATTTTTGTATTTTTAGTAGAGACAAGGTTTCACCATATTGGCCAGGCTGATCTTGAACTCCTGACCTCAAGTGATCCACCCACCTCAGTCTCCCAAAATGTTGGGATTATAGGCATGAACCACCATGCCCTGCATTGTCAGTCTTATTCTTAAAGCAAGAAAAACTGAACAAACTGAAGTGACTTTTCATAAACCCATCAGATGACTGAGATTGCAGGGTAAACTGCCACCCAGAAATTTTAAGAGAAAGGAACATCCAGAGAGGTATGGCTAATAGCTACTTATCTAGATGAAAAGCTGGCAATAAACTGGTAGGAACATGTAAATGGTAACTTATGAATTGCTGGAGACAGTGTGACCTAGTATGATAGTGAGAAAGTCCTGGGAACCACAATCTTACAGGACCCTAGTATTTATATGGGTTATACCAGCAATAATCCCCTCCAGGTTCGTGCTTAGTGAAGATCTTAGAGATCTCAGATCTCTATAAAATACAGATTATTTTACAATAATCCCTGTAAAACTCTCCAGGGGAAAATGTAAGAATTTTTCCCACCTAGAAGAAAATATTTCTCCCATATCAGCCCCCTTTAGACTTCCTGTCTCACTTATGGAGGATGGGGGAAGCTGTCACACTAGAGACACACTTGTGACACAGGCTCAAAGACAAGTCCCACCAGAGAACTGAGACTTACTCATAAGTTTACAGAATGATTCCCATCATCTACACCTACATATGAAAGTACTATAGTGTTACTTAAAGAAGGACTTAGAATGTTTAAAAAGGCACATTGCAAACTCATTGGAAACTACTTAAATATTTTTTTTAAATATTATGGATGTGATAAGTGAGCAGTTATGATGAAATCAAATAAAATATTCAAAAGTAAAACAACAGAAGGGAGAAAACAGAGAGAACAGAAGGAAATAAAAAAGGCAATAAACAGAAGATAGTTAAAATTGTGGTAGCTATTAGGCCAACTATATAAATAGTCATTTTGCATATCTCATAATTTGTGTTGCAAATAGAATATTTAAAATATTGCATTGTAGCAACTCTATGTACTGATCTTCCTTCACTGGGCATTGTTATCATTGCTGTTTGCTTATTTAGTGTTTTAATGACTTGGCTGAATTATTTCACCGAAGTGCCTTTACCTTGCCTTGTGCAGCCTCTCATGTCAGCCCTCAGAAGGCAGAGTCTTGGTCATGTATACAGCCTTCCTGACTCCTCACTTCCACTTCTGAGAATGCCTGTGGTTTTTAGCTAAACTCTGTTTGAATGCCTCTCTCCCCAGTCCTTCCGTAAAACTTCTAGAGGGTCTGGCTCTATTGGTATCATTCCCGGATATTAGCATCCCTTTATCGGTACCCTATATCAGACTACTCTAACCTTTGGCATTACCTTGGGGCATAAATTGCCCCACAATCTGATCCATTTGATAATTAGACCCTTTATAGGGGTAGTTTTGAGGTCAATTTTTGAGACATGCTAGAATCCAAGCAGAGATCTTGTTATGTGTCTCACTCTTTTGTCCTCTCTCTTAAATTTTTTGCCTCTCTACCATTCATTTTATTGCTATCATGGAGTGACCATACTCCTCTTAATTTCTCACCACCAATATCTCCATGATTTTGGCAGAGCCTTTAGGCTTGAATGTCTTAAGCTTTCTTGCAAATAAATACAGTTACCTTAGAAAGAACTACAGAACTTTGTGTTATTATAGTCTGCAGCTCTTCCTGGACAGAATCTTTGTACCACTGCTTACCAGTGTTGGGGTAGAGACAGTGGCCTGCTTCTCTGGGGGGTGACATGTCTATATTACTAGTGAGGCACTGAGTAGTGATGGTAGTCCTTGATCTTCTCAGGTGGCCTCTCTTGGCACAGAACTCCTACCCTAAGAGCCAGTTTGGATGAGAACAGTCAAAGCCCAGTGTCCCTGGCCTTCCATAGCTAAGGTAAAGCTTCTACCCTACAAGTTGAGGCTGGGATGGAGGAAAGAAGCACCATTCATCTCAGTTGTATTTTCATCAAGTAAAGCCCCTGCAACCTTGGCTGGAGACATAAGAAATGCTGGTCACCTGCCCTTCCCACAGGAACCATCTCCTTAGACTAGAAGCTGTTAGTGGTAACCTCGTCTTCTTGGACCTATCTGCTTAAGCCTCCATCACACTGAGCTGGAGACAGTTTAAATGAAGGGAGAAGAATTCTATATAGAATTGAGGCAAGAAAAAGTAAAATATATTTTCAAAAATGAGAAAATACCAGTATGTCTGGAGCTATGGTGGCAGAGGAAATTGTGATCAGAGAAGTTCAGGTGAGGTAGGCAGGCCTGGTGCTTTAGAGGAGTGTAGGTCCTATTAAAATGTTTGAACAAAGGTGTAAATGACTAATTAAGACTTTACTTTTCTACCCAGGAATCTCTTAATAATAATGAAATTCAATCTAAATGAGTATTACAGTAATGGGAGAATTATGGTGTGCTAATAGCAGCTATCAAATTATTTAAGGGAAAGTAAGGCCTTTGACCATACTGAAATAGAATCACAGAGAAAATTTCTCATTGTTTAGTTTTATGTGTGATTAAATATAATCACCAGTCCTGCAGATAGGAGAAACAGTCCCAGGGAAAGCTGAATTTAAATTTTGAATCAGTTGATTCAAATGAGGATTTGAAATCAGAATATATATTTTTTTAAATAAATCATATAGATTTTTTTTTGCCACATATCTTGCTTCAGTATTTGGTAAATGAGCGACATATCACCTACTGCTACTATGACTATTAGCTGGCTGCCCTAATTTATGTTAATCTCTAGAGATAATTAATTATTTATATTTGTTTGTTAATTAATTCTCTAATTTCTAATGAGATATTCATTCAATGAACATGCAAGTGTTGCATAAAGTATCTAATATTTGGATTTCAGTTTAGTTAAAAAGAAATTCATAGATAACTTATCCAGAAAATCTCATAAAGATCCAATTTTAGAAACATTTGTAGGGTGCAATTATGTCTGCAAACAGTAAATACTTTGTAAGACATTCAGGGACAAAAAAAGAGTTAACTTGTGATACTTTGTGCTAACAAAAATAGACATAATTCCTCTATATTTGCATTTTTTATCATGTCCTTTTCACCTCACTAAAATCTTGAGATAAATTAGGCATTCCACATATGTGCTAGTGTTACAAATTACAATAAAGGTAATATAAGGGAGCTAGTTTCCTTTGTAACTATGAGGTGGTGAATATAGACCTTCAGTTGTTATGGCAACCTTCAATTAATGAAAGTATCATCAAAGTCATCTCTCTATAATATTTAATAAGTTATTTCCATTAAATATGATTGAATGTTCCATTCTGAATCCAATGACAGAGGTAAAGTTAAAAGTCATATTAGAAAAAAATGAAAATAGATATATCCTCTATTGTTTAATGGAGAAAAATCAATCAAAAACTTCTCTTAAGATTAAATTTTTGTAAAGACAGCTGCAGCTATGTTGCCAATAAAATATTAATAGCTTCTACATAGTTGGACTTTCATGTAGATTTATGACTCATTATGAATTTTCCATTAGGCTACTGGGAAAAATATGATGGTGATGATGATGATGATGATAACTGACAAAAAATTATGCTAACATTAAAAGTGTTGACAGAAAAATACTAACAAATAATTTTATTTTTATCAAAATAATTCTCTCCAAACTCTCTCACAGATTAATTAAAATAAACAAAATTTAAAAAGCCAAAAATTATTATATCATAGGATGTGGCTTTGAGAAACAAAACTTGAATTTATAATAGCTACTATTTATAGAATGACTATTCATATACCATCTCTAATCATCAACACAGGCAAGGTACCTTTTTATTAGCCTACTTTATAGCTAGGGAAAAGTAGACATCAAAAGCTAAAATTAAAGTAACAATGTAGGGATCACACAATTAGTACTATTTGAGAGAGCATGTATTGTGCCAAGCCTATTCTGTGCCAAAATCCATCAGGCCATAATGCCTCCTTAGAGTTATTTTGAGATTACAATGTAAAAAATAATAGTGTAATATTTATAAGTCTGAAAACTATTTTCATAAAATTCTAGTGTATTTTAGCTACTTACAGTATGATAAAAATGAATATCTGAGTTTTTTTATTAGCTCTAAGCTAATAACGCTTCAGGATTAATGTTAATTCCTAAAATCTCCTTGGAGCACAACCCAGGATAATGTAAAAAGTAACTGGAGCATGATTAGAAAAGAAAATATTCTGTGATTCAGTGATCAGCAATGTCAACCTTGGGACAGAAGCTACAAGTTACAACTTGGAATAACAGGATTGTTTAGTGACAAAGATGTTAATAGAGTCAAATAGGAAAGTGTCTTAGACAAGTGAGCCTTTTTATTTTTACTTTATGTGCCCGAAGAAACTAACCTAATATTGAGGTAATCTTTTCTCATGGCCATGGCCAAGAAGGCTAAATCTGTTATAATTTATACATGTAACACTGAAGGAACTGGAATAAATGAATAAATGTTCTACATTTTTGGCAGTAAGAATGAATGAATCTGGAACAGAGAACCTTGGCTGAAACTGTAGTTTGTCCAAATACTAAATTCCTTAAGGATGACAACATTTTAAAAATATTAGAATGCACTGATGATTTACTATGAGCCAGACACCTGAGGTAGATATGTTTTATGTGTATTTTCAGGTAAGAAAAAAATGTACTTCACAGAAAATTAACCTCTTCACCCTGTTTACATATTAAACTGGAAGGGCATACCAATCTTATATTTTATGTAGAGTCTGCTGGAGGCAGTATACATTTAATTAAGAGCAGAGGCACTGAGACAGATAATTTTGGATTTGAATTCCAGTTTTCCCACTGTATACATCTGCAATCTTGGACAAAGCACTTTGAGCCTCAGTTTTTACATCTGTATGTTCAGAAACAATAAAGTACTTGCTTTATAGGATTTGCTTAGAAAATTAAATACATAGAAACACCTTAACACAATGCCTGACATATAGTCATTGTTCAATTAGTATTAGGTCGTATTATTATTAATAATAATGTTAGTGACATGTGTAGGCAGTTTGGCACATAGGAGTTGCTCACTAGAGAATAAAGACCTTTATGCTTTATGCATGTCTCCTGCCATAGACCATACACTAACTAATTAACCTAAACAGATGATTCCATTGAAAAGATCGCATTAGAGTCACATCAAATTAAGTTTAATTTCAAAACTATTTATTGCATGCCTCCTCCTCTCTCCTCCTTCTCTTTTTAAATAATCATATTTATTGAGTTTTCTACATATATTATTAATTATCCCAGTGATTACTTGAGCTAGACACATTATTATCATCATTGTATAGATGAAGAAATCAAGCAAAAAAAGGTTAAGAAATTTACCCAAAGTCAAATCAAACACTTTACTGTAATAAGTGGGAGTAAAGTATATAAATAAGTAAAAAATAATGTCCGAGAAGTTAAGAATGAATAAAACATTATTACTGCCTTTTAGAAACTTACATTCTAATGAGGAAAATAGTCTTATCTACAAATAATGTGCGTACAAGACAAGAATGTTACAAATGTACAAATGTTACTATAGGAAAGACAGATTAATTCTTATTTAAATAACCTCACGTATAAAAAAGAAAACTTTTAAAGTAAATAAAGTGAGTAAAATGGTTAATTACAAGTTTGTTTTAGATTCCCAATACAGTTGACCCTTGAACAACATGGGGGCTAGAATTGCCAACTTGTTGAAAATTTCTGTATAACTTTTGACTTCCTGAAACTTAACTGCTAGTAGCCTTACTAATAACATAAACTGTACTGGAAGCCTTACTAATAACATAAACAGTCAATTAACACACATTTTATATGTTATATATATTATATACTATATCCTTACAATGAAGTAAGCTAGAGAAAAGAAAATGTTATTAATTAAGAAAATCATAAGGAAAAGAAAATATATTTACTATTCAATAAGTTGGAGTGGATCATTATAAGGGTCTTCATCCTCCTTCTCTTCACATTGAGTAGGCTGAAGAGAAGAAAAGAAAGGATGGGTTGATTTTGCTGTCCCCAGAGTGGCAGAGGCAGAAGAAATCCATGTGTAAATGAACCTGCACAGTTCAAAACCGTGTTGTTCAAGGGTCAATTTATATGAAAGACGCTAATTGTATCTTATTGTTATTTTTGAATTTCTGAATATTTTAGTAAATTTATTTTATTTTTCTTGGTTCTAAAGAAGTAAATAATTTAAAACTCACATTAATTAAAACAATTTTGAATTAACACTAGCTAACTTTGAGTGGCTTATAAGTGCAAGGTTTATGACAATTTTTTCTCATTAGTAAATAAATTTAATTCTCAATAATCAAAATTTGCCTAAAATAAGAGCATAACATTAAAGAGAAAAATATGCCTTTGCATATAAAAACTTTGTATTTCGAAGTTTATACCAGATCATTATTTAAATTCTGTAAGAACCATAATAATGATAATAAAACTTCAATAAATGTAAAAACTCAATTGCAAATGATCATAAAAAAACAAATTTAAGATACTGAGAGACTGAATTTGGAGTGTAGTATATGGATGGGGACAAAGTACAGGAGAGAAAACTGACTAGAGAAAATTATACTTATTAAAATATTTTTAAATATAAGAAGTTGATTATGAGAAATAGATTCTAAGGAAAGTACTGTTACAGGATCCTTTTTGTGTTGCTTTTCCAGCTGGAAACCTCTGCAGCCAGTGGCGCTTTTGCTGGAGTTTTGCTCGGTCCCACTGGGCCCAGTTGGCCTGGCAGGCTGTGCTTGGCTTATGCTACCGGCCTGATAAGCTGCCAAGAGCAATCGGAGCGGCTAGTGGTGTGTGAGCGAGTGAGTGTGGGGTCTGGCCACTATACACAGCCAGGGATGCAGTGGGCAGCTCTAGGTGTCGACATGGGCAGTGGCTCCCTGTGAGGCTGCGGCTGGACCAGGTATACTGCAAAGCAGCTTCCACGGCTGGCACTGGGGAACGTGGTGGCGCCCAGAAGCTTGACACCAGAACCACAGAGCCCCAAAGAGAGTGTCACAGCCCTGGCTCTGGGAGCTTCTAGGTCTGGTCTCCCCAGAGGACCGCAGCTCTTCTCTTCTCTCTTCTCTCCTTCTCATCACCCACAACATGGTGAGCAAATGGGGCGTGATTCAGCCCTGTTTGTGTTGCAGCTCTTTTAGCCTGGCCATTCAGGTAATCAGGGTAAAATAAACTCCCAACTGAATTTTGTGATACAATCTCAAGTGAGGATGAACTCCCTTAAATAGAACTTTGTGTGGGGGCAAGAGGGAAGTATGCTGCAGCCACAAGCACAGGAACTAGCAATGGCCTGGCCTTGCAGAGATACAGGGAGGAGAGTGGCCTGAAAGCCGTGATTACTATCTCTGCGATGAAGTGTATGGCCTGCGGCAGGTCTGAGTTCTATGCACAGACTGTCTAGATCTAAATTCATCGCTGTCAGTAGAGCGCTACAGGAGCCAGACTGGCCTTGCCAACTGTGTGTAAGCAGTGTGGGACTTGCTGCGCCTGCTACTCCCCACTCCCTTTGTGAACTCTTCTGTGCAGGAGAGGCAGTTATACTCTCTTCTCAAACATTAACCCCAGTGGCCTGAGAACCAACTCTATCCCCCACAGGGACCATGGCCTGCTCCGCCGAAAGAGAGTCTGAGCTCAGACCCGCCTAACCTTGCCCCCATCTGGTAGGTATTTCTCTGCCAATCCTGGTAGCTTAACACAAAGGACATCGAACTTTGAGAGCTTTATAGGCCCACCTATCATCTGAGAAACCAGAATACTTTCCCTGGGCACCTTAGGGCAAGCTCAAACCCCACTGCTACTACAGCAGCTGGTGCTCTCTTGCAAGAACCATCTCCTGGCTGGAGGCCAACCAACACAGGCCATTACAGCACCTCTCCATAGCATAACACTGTACACAAGAAGGGGAAAATGGTTGTGTGATACATTTGCCTGTAACACCCTGGCTAACCACAGGTCCTAAGTCTGTCCACAGGACAAGTTCACTACTAGTATAACCAGTATTCCAGAAAACCAGCTCACTAAACCCATCTACAACCAAGGAATCTCACAGAGTCTACATCATTCCCCTGCCACTTTCATTAGCTCAGGTGCTGGTATCCACTGCTGGGAGACTTGAAGACAGGTCATATTACTGAATCCCTTGCAGACATTCCCCAGCACCAGCCTGGAGTCTGTTAGCCTCACTGGGTGGCTAGATCCAGAAGAGCAATAACAATCGCATAGTCTGGTTCTCAGAAAGTCCCATTCCTAGGGGAAGGCAGACAGCACCACATCAAGGGAACAGCCTACGGGACAAAAGGAAGTGAATAACAGTCCTTGAATCCCAGATCTTTCTGCTGGTGGGACCTTTCTTACAGCAGAGACACAATTGCAGTGCTGGGTGCAGTAGGAAAAGTCTGTATCTCTACCCCAACAGGCAGGCAACCTCTGTGACCATGAAGAGTCTTGCAGAAGGAGTCCTTGGTCACCTCTGGTACACCCACTGTAGACACAGCTGGATCTTCTCCCATGAAAACACAGCATGGATGGACCTGTAGAGAGCCTTCTTGGAAAAATTCAAGGCGACTGCAGCCACACAAGAGAGGGTCTCCCCAGATTCAGACCTGTCGCAATCGCTCCCTACTTGGAACATCAACATTCTGACAGATTAAAAGAGGTGCCTGTCTGATTTGAATAACCATGAATAGCCAGGACACTGGGACATGAATGAGGCTGTGAGGTGGATAGCTTTCCTGCTAACCTGGCGGGGAGATGGGGTAGCTCCCCTTCTTCATTCTCATTAAACATCAGCACATCTGACTGAGAACTCTCCCAGCCACCTTCATCAAGGCTGGGAACTCTGCCTATCGTTAGGTATTACATCTACTTACCTGCTTTATCTATGACTGGTGCCTACCCAGGCGTATCTCCCATATTGGCCTAAAGCCTGAATCATCAACTCAGTAAATAAAATTATGGGGAAAGATTAATTAAATAAATAAAGTGTACACCATAAGACAATTAGATAAGCTTCAAGAGATCCCTGCCATTCCAACCCCATGGTAGAAGTAAACTAGTGCACACACAAATAACTACTACATCCAGCATGTGGGAAAGCCAGCACACAAAGACTTTCTATAACTAAGGAACTCATACAGAGTCTTCACTCCTTAATACACCAAGAATCATATTAAGTTGTAATAAACTATAAACATTAAAATCAGATCCTTAAGAGGAAAAAAAGAAATAAAAAACACAGTATGATCAAAAATAAATACTGAATATAGATACAATAATCCTCAACAAAATATTAGCTAATGGAATCAAACAGCATAACAAAAGAATACTATACCATGATGAAGTGGGTTTCATACCAGGGATGGTTTAACATATGCAAGTAAATAAATGTGATACATCACATAAACAGAAGTAAAAACAAAAATCATATTACCATCTCAATAGTCACAGAAAAAGCATTTGATAAAATCCAGCATCCTTTTATAATAAAAACCCTCAACAAAATAGACACAGAAGAGATTTACCTCAAAGTAATAAAAGCCATCTATGACAAATCCACACTCAATATTATATTAATATTTATTGAAGGAATGTTGAAAGAATTCCCCCAAAAAACTGGAAAAAGACAAGGATGCCACTTTCAATACTTCTATTCAACATAGTACTGGAAGTCCTAACCAGAGCAGTCAGACAAGAGAGATAAATAAAGGGCATCCAAATTGGAAAAGAGGAAGTCAAATTCTCACTGTTCGCTGACGATATGATCAATCACCTATAAAACCCTAAAGACTTATCCCGAAAGCTGCTAGATATGATGAATGCATTCAGTAAAATCTCAAGATACAAAATCAATCTACACAAATCAGTAGCACTGCTATGCACCAAAAGTGACCAAGCCAGTAATTAAATCAAGAACCCAATTCCCTTAATGACAGCTGCAAAAAATAAAATACTTAGTAATATACTTAACCAAGGAGATGAAAGATCTCTACAAGGAAAACTACAAACACTGATGAAAGAAATAATAGATGACACAAATGGAAACATATCCCATGCTCGTGAGTGGGAAAAATAGTGTGAAAATGACCATATTGCCCAAAGTAGTGTACAGATTTAATGGAATTCCCATCAAAATACCGTCATTCTTCATAAAAATGGAAGAAACAATCCTAATATTCATACAGAATCAAAAAGAGCTCAGATAGCCAAAGCAAAACTAAGCAAAAACAAAAAAAATCTGGAGGCATCAAATTACTCAACTTCAAATTATACTGCAAGAGTATAGTTACCAAAACAGCATGGTACTGGTATAAAAATAGGCATGTAGACCAATGAAACAGAATAGAGAACCCAGAAATAAAAGCCAGATACAGAGAGCTAACTGATTTTCAACAAACCATGTAAAAAAATAAATTGAGAAAGGACACTCTATTTAATAAATGGAGCTGGGAAAACTGGCAAGCCATATGTAGAAAAATTAAACTGGGTCCCCATTTGTCACCTTATACAAAAATCGACACAAGATATAGCAAAGACTTAAATTTAATACCGGAAACCATAAAAATTATGGAAGATAACATTGAAAAAACTCTTCTAGACATTGGCTTACACAAAGAATTTTAGTCTAAGACTCCAAAAACCAATGCAACAAAAACAAAAATAAATAAATAGGGCCTAATTCAATTAAAAAGCTTCTGTACAGCAAAATAAATAATCAGTATAGTAAACAGACAACCCACAGAGTGGGAGAAAGTATTCTCAAACTATGCATTCAACAAAGGACTGGTATCCAGAATCTACAAGAAACTCAAACAAATCAGCAAGTAAAAAACAAATTATCTCATCAAATGTGGGAAAAATACATCAATAAACATTTCTTGAAAAAGATATACAAATGGCCAACAAACACATGAAAAAATGCTCAACATCACTAATCATCAGGAAAATGCAAATTAAAACTATAATGAGATCCCACCTTACCCCTGCAAGAATGACCATAATTAAAAAGTCAAAAAAATAATAGATGTTGGTATGGATGTGGTTGAAGGGGAATACTTTCACACTGCTGGTGGAAATGTACATTAGTACAACCACTATGGAAAACATTATGGAGATTCCTTTAAGAACTAAAAGTAGAACTGCCGTTTGATCCGGCAATCCCATTCCTGGTTATCTACCCAAAAGAAAAGAAATCATTATATAAAAAAGACACATGTACATACATGTTTATAGCAGCACAATTCACAGTTGAAAAAATATGGAACCAACCTACGTAAGTGCCCATCAACCAGTGAATAGATAAAGAGTATGTGGTATATATATCATGGAATACTACACAGTCATGAAAAGGAAAAAAAATAATGTGTTTTGCAGCAACTTGGATGGAGCTGGAGGTCATTATTCTAAGTGAAGTAACTCAGGAATAGAAATCCAAATATTCTGTCTTCTTACTTATGAATTTTCAAATAGCCTGCCTTCAGGCTCACTAATTGTTTCTTCTGCTTGGTCAATTCTGCTATTAAAGGGCTCTAATGCATTCTTCAGTATGCCAATTGCATTTTTCATTTCCAAAATTTTTGCTTTTTTAAATTATTTCAATCTATTTTATAAATTTATCTGATAGAATTCTGAATTCCTTCTCTGTGTTATTTTGAATTTCTTTGAGTGTCCTCAACACAGCTATTTTGAATTCTTTGTCTAAAAGATCCCATATCTCTATTTCTCTGGGATTGGTTTCTGATGCCTTATTTAGTTCATTTGGTGAGGTCATATTTTCCTAGGTAGCCCAATCTCATTTTAAAATGAGTGTGTGTCTGGTAATGGAGGGGAATTAGGGAGTATAACATAAACTGTAGGCAAAGAAAAATATTTGCTCAATCAAGGAACAGGTGAGTCTCTCTGGATATATGATTTACACCGAACAGATGTAAATATAACAGGCCTAATAAATTAAAATTAAAACCTAAAATATAATTCTAGATATTTTACATATATGATTAAGAGAATAAATAGATTAATCATGGTCACATTTACATTACTCCTCACCTGTCTGTAAAGGACTAAGGTAAAGAAATATTGTTGTCATATATCTTTTTCTTTGTGAATTATCTCTGTGAAAGGATGAGTGTACCACACATCAGTGATATAGTTACATATCCAAAGTTATGGCAAACAGTTTAAATGAAAATAGTTGATATAATTTTGTATAAAATGAGATTGCTCCAAATAGGTAGATGCAAGTCGTCTATAGATGACAAACATAAAACTGTGTCTAGTTTGGGCATTGCTTCTTCTTTCCAGAACATATTTTTAAAAAGATCATACTTATAAACATTTCAGTATATTTTTATTATATTTTCCTTGTCTTACATTTTATTGAGGTATAATTTATGGCTAGTTTGAATAATTTTGACAAGCGTACACAGAATATTAACACCAACACAACGAAGATATAAATCATTTCCATCACCGCCAGTGGGTCCCTGCAGCTCTTTGTGGTCAATCTCCTCCTTCTACATATGACTACTTGTAACTATGTTTTTGTTTTCTGCCACTATAGTTTAGCCTTTTCCAGAATATCTTAAAATTTGAATCATAAGCAATATATGCTTTTTGTATCTGGCTTCTTTGACAATGCGGATAAATAATAGGGCAAAATTTATACCACATGTTACTGATTCCTTTTGCCTGACACATTATTACTTATATTTTAAAACCCAAATTAATGTTTGTATCCTGCTTGAAGCTAGCCACAACTATAATAACCAGTCTGTTGCTCTGAAAATCAGTACATATTAGTGCTAAAAATATTGACTGTTGGGTCAGATAAATTGTCGCTCTACTTCCGTAATCATCATTACATAATTTTATAATATTAGGCATATTATATAATCTTCCTGAGCCTGAACTTTTAAGTTTATAATAGGAAGAAAATCTCATCTTAAGAAATTGAACAGAGGCTTGCAAAGTGCCAAACTGCCTGTAACATGGAAAATACTCATGATATATTAGCATTGTTATTATTATTGTCTGTCTACTCATTTTTCATCACGCATAACCTCAATAGTGTTATAATTATTATTTACATGATTATCATTCCCAAAGATAAACCATATTAGGAAATTTTAAATGTTTGCTTAATAGAATGACTGTTCAAAATATACAAAACAGTCATCATCTGAAATATTTCCTATGAAGGCTAAGAGATGAGAGCAAGCTGGGTGTTAAATGGTTTGGGAAAAAAATCAATAAGTTAAGTCCAGCATTGTGGAAGTTAATTTTAATTATTATTAATGTACATCACTCAGATTCAAATTCTACCATGAATCATGACTATCCCAACATGTTATTGCAAATTTAGATCTAGCTTGTGACAACATTCTAAGTATAAATCAGTAAGTAAGAGTAAATATAAGGATATATAATCAATAATTAAAAACAAATATAACCCATTATGTGGATATATAAGCAAATATAACACATTATATATAGGTCATTTAAAAATATACTACAAAAATACTAATTTGTTATATTCTAGTATCTTTGTCAGTAAACCATCACTAATATAAGAATTAAAACTGTTTTGCCATCAATTCATATAGATTTTTTTTTCACTTTTAGATAGAATATAAGGGATTGTACAGCAATTTCAACACTTGTGTTACAAAGAGGAATGCACCCATCAGTGGCATTATTGCTTATTATTGAGGCTATTGCGAGCAAGTGGAGTTTGGGAAATTTTGCCACAGCCTCTCGGAGTAGTAGCATAGAAACAAATGTTTCCATGACAACACTCCGTAACCACTCTTTCAAGATGTACTTATAGATGTTCATATTTGTGATAAGAAATACAATATTTTTACCTTGAAAGTTGCTTAAAATTGTCAGTCTTAGCATTAAGTACTATCATCAGCAATTGTTTAAAATGTTACATTTATAATAACTTCCTTAAAATATAAACACTTCAATAATAAGCAGATAGGTACCAGTACAGACAACTGCGATTAATATGGGTTCAATTTTGTTGACAATAGTAAATGAATTGTATATAATTCTGGTTATTCATGATACCTAGCAATAAGCATAATTATAGTAGCACCTTGAATTATTGCCTGAAACTATAGTCCATTTTGGAGAGCTGTTTGTTTTTTCAAGTTATAATTCAAATGTTACGTTTGTTAATATTTTGCCAAATCATCACATTCTAACCGGCCAGGCATTCTGTTTAAAACTGTATTAGTTTTTTTCTCAGTTTTTCCCTTTTAGTCATATTCTTCTAAATAACCTTATAATGTTCACTATTAGTCTATGTGATAAGGCTATATAAGTATTATTATTTTGTAAGTATTAGAATCAAATGATGGGGTACAAAGTATAGTCCAAAATTGCTCTCGGTTTATAGAATTAATGCTCTGCACTTCACCTTATACAAATATTTCATATGGAAACACTCTCATATTGGATGGAGTGTCTCCTCTTTTGAGAAGAGAAAGTCAAGGATTTTCTTTAAAATTTAATTGTCTTTTCTTAATTAGGGAAACTTCAATGATATAATAATTAACAGCATTTCATGATGCTACAATCTTTCAGCACATATTTTTTAACATTTTAAATGTTAGCCTCTTTCCAACTCAGAGGAGATTCACTTGCTTAAAGAGAAATACTCAGAAATTATGATACTTTTGAGGTGATTAATACTATTCATATTAAATATCTCTTAACCAGAATGAAAGTAGTAATTTGGAAATTATATAGAAAGCATTATTTTTGTGTTTGTGAGAACAGATTAACTATTTACTTTTCTCTAAAAGCAATAATTTATTATTTTAAACTAATCAAATATTTCTAACAATGTATTCTATGGGAATGTTAATAAATGTTTTACAGAAATTATTTTAGAATTGATTTTTTCAATTGCCAAATAAATTATGTACACTTATTAAAATACTAAACACATATGTAGTCAGTCATTAGTCTTTGTTTATAAAAGGTATTAAATGATGATATGCCATTCTCAATGCAGGGAAGTTTTATTTGATATAGCATTGAGTAAATGCATGCCCAATATACATTTTTAATTTTAATTTTATTTTATTTCTGGGGTACATAGTAAGTGTATATATTTATGGAGTACATGAGATATTTTGATACCAGCATCTAATGCATAATAATCACACCATGGAAAATGTGGTATTAATCCCCTCAAGCATTTATTCTTTGTGTTACAAACAATCCAATTATAATCTTTTAGTTATTTTAAAATGTACAATTAAATTATTGACTGTAGTCACACTGTTGTGCTATCAAAAACTAGGTCTTATTCTTTCTAGTCATTTTATTGGTACTCCTTACCCATCCCCACTTCCTCCACAACCCTCCTCACTAGAATCAGTAACATGTGGTATAAATTTTGGCCCATTGTTTTTCAGCATTGTATATAACAGAGGCAGTTTCTTCCCATCAGATGAGGTCATTAGAAAATCAGTATTTAGAAAGTTGGTAATTAGGTTTGTTTTTCAAATAGGTATTCTATTTATTCAAATGTATTTCTTCAGCAAGCATTTTTATCTTCAACCATTGAAAGAACTTGCTCTCAGCTGTTTTTGTTGTTGTTGTTTGTATTCAGCAAAGTTGCTGTCCAAATGCTAGAATTGCTGTGGCTAGTTCTCTATGCAGTCAAAAATGTCTCCTTTCAGTGACAAATCCTTTGGCCACTATTTTTAATCTGCACATGAAGTATCTATCAATATTATCTGAGGAAAAGCTCTTCCAAAACCCATGCCACTGAAAACAGTAATCTGCTACTTGACATGTCCAAACAAGTCCCTATCCTTTTCTAACATCCACCCTCAAATTCTGCCTAGATTCTTCATAGCTATTGCTTCTTTGGCTTGTTTGTGAAATCCCCCAGCACCATTTTACCTGCTCAACACAGGTGAGATTCAATACTTTTGCGTATCTGTCTGTTTCCTGAGATCCCTGCCACAGTTGGTTGTGAATTCCACAGTAACCAAAAAAATCTGTGCACAGAGAGTCCCTACGTCTAACTCCCATACTTCCTCTTCTAGCCACAAACTCTTTTACCTATTTTTAGAGCAGTGTTTCTCAGTTTTTCTCTTTTTCCCTTTTTTTCTCCATTATAGCCTTTTTTCCCATTATAGTCACCTTTCTTAGAAGTCTTTTAAAACATTATTTTCTGGACTTCCTTTGAAATTTTAATACCAGAGATATACTGCATACATATGTATGTACTATGACCTTAAAGAAAGATAAAATGATTTTAACATATATACATATGGTTTCAATCCTAAGGAACCCCTCTTTGAGGGTGTTACTATCCCTACAGGGAATATGTATTCTAAAGAATTTAAATTACTCTCTCAGAGTAAAAATGCAATCCATCCTTAGGTATTATTATTTAATTTGGTGTCAAATGTGATTAAGCTAAAATAAATTCCTGACATTAAGAAGGCACTGTTCCTTAGCTTTCACCCTGGAACTTCCTCTTATCATCCTATTTTTGTATTTTTTTGATGAGTTCAGTAGAGATGAGGTGAGTATCAAATATCTATTATGAAGGTTTGATTTCTCTGAAAGTTTATCATTTTTAAAAACATGGCTGAAATAGCTTGATGGTAGTCTCACTAGAATAAGAAATAAAAGATGACTTTTTCTGTACTTTTTGTAGAGGATTGTTAAGTATCACATTTGAAATATGACAATTTGAAATAAATATATTTTTATGGAAATATTTGTCTTCAATTTTTTGTTGTCTTTCAAAAGAAATAAATATATGTTATATTTTTAAAAATATCTTCTCTATTTATTACAATTTTCATATTGTCTTAAATTATTTGCTGACTTAACATGGTATAATATACTACATTTATAATATGGTTTTTCTTAATTCGAAGATGTGCAATTTCAGCACATTTAAGTTCCAACTATTAGTATATATCTGATAATTAATGCAGACCTTAAAGTGATTCAGTACTTTATTTTCTTTCTCCTTGCTTTCATAACTAATAATGTTATTAAATCAAGCTTGTATCTCCCAATGGTTTACTTGAATCAAGAACAGTGTTATAAAATCACTTCCTTGCTTGGAAGTGATGTGTTTATTATCACTCAATTAATACTTTAGTACTTCAAGTACTTCAAAAATTATACAACCAGGGTGACTATGTATTGTTTTATCAAGACAGCCTAAATTTTATGCCTATTCTTCTATCGTAATCTCAATAGCACGTCATTTTACTCTCAAATGTTTCACAGTTTGACTTAGAAGTTATATGTTTATCCTACACATAAGTGAGATAAATCTATAGTCTTTATTCAATATTACCTTTTCAGATTGTATCATAAATTTACTTTGAACGGATTAGCTTTCAGTTTCTAGAAGGTAATAAGTGTATTTTTCTTAAATATAAAATTTCCCACTGTTTTTACAATGCAGCCTGAATTAGAAAATCATTATTTCTTCTGTCAAAGAAGCTTAAACTTGTCATGGAGAACATTATGACAACTATGAAAATGTCATGTGAAATTGGTATTTAAAATGCAAGTCTAAGAAGGACATTTTAGGGTATAATTTTCTGTTTAAAAAAACCTGTGATAATTTGGTCATTTTGTGAAGATACACTAAGCTGTAACTGTGTCAGAGTAATTTATTTGGACATATCTCCAAATCTAGAGAATGATCTGTCTAAGAACATGCCCAATAAATCTCTTCCTTATAAATTAATATGATTTGAAATAACAAACATGTAAGTGTAGATGTATAAAGAACAGAACTCATGCCACTTTTCCACTTTTTCTATAGACAGAAATTATATTAAATGGATGAATTTCTGTGTTGACTATACACTTATGAGGTAAGATAAATATGTCAGAATCTCATTAGAGATGGTGTCAAGTAGTGAAGGGTGAAGGAATAGAAGGTGTAGCATTACTCAACATGTTTATTATGGGACTCAGAAATTTTCAAGCTATGCCACCAACAGGTATACTTTTTCGAGCACCTAACCTTTGGGAGAAATGGTGATGTGCGTATGGAGAGTAACACGTGAAGAGTAGGAGGGCACAATGGTCTAGTCTCTTAGAAGAGTAGCACGGAAGAAACTTCTCTGAATAGGAAGCAGTCCAAACTCATGTGACGCAGGCTGCGAAATCACTTAAGAATGAGTGAAGAATGTGTGAGACAGTACTAAGAGGTACCCCGCAAATATCTTCCAGGTATCTTGATGAATAGGGTTTTAAAATGAAAAACAAGAGTACTCACTAAAAGCAAGTAAAGGGCTTGCTTGCTTACCGATCTGTAATAGTGAGGGAAACACAATTCAGATTTGGATTAATATCTGTAATCATTAGAGCAGATGACTTTTCTCAAATTCTAAGGGCTCTGCTGCTATGACAGTAAGAGGAGTCAAGAAACACAGTTACACTGTGCATATTAGCAGATGAACCAAAGTTACATACCTTTATCAGCACCAATTCTGCTGTCCATAGAAAAGAGGTCAGCAGCAAGTCAGTGCTAGTCATGAACAGGTGTTAGCTAGGACTCACTGTGAAGATATATTAGCAGAACTAGTAGGAGTTTCAAAGTATCAGGGGCCAAGTAGATGTGAACTTGAGATTTTATTCCAAATAATATTTCAGTGTTCTTTATATGGTTGACAGGATTTCCTAAGCCTAGATTATTTAATTGTTTTGTGACTATAAACCATATATATGCTTTCAAAATTCTAAGAATTAGTCCATTTTCAAAGTTTAATGCCTATTAATTTAAGTACTATAATAAAATTTCAAAAATAGATAACAGGGGATTTATTAACATGTTAATATATCCACATGGAATAATCTCAAATCTAATTTTTCTTAATAATTTTTTCTAACCTTAGTAGTTTACTCTTTAATGCACAATAGGAGTCTTTAAAATTTATTTAACTTACCTATTTATATTTTCTTACTCTGAAATTGTGTCTTAGACACTCACTTTACCTCAATTATTGCTCTTTATTCGAATTTTCCAGGCTGCTAAATTGGGATCCTTAGATTTTTCAGTTAGTTACATTAATATGTCTTATACTACCATCTGTCAGTTAATTTTTTTACAGTTTCCATTTGACAGTATAGTGCTAATAATAGTTTTAATCATTTAATTATAAGTAAAAATATTTTTAGAGTTTTAGGTCACATAGGAGAGGAAATTTATGGAGTAGCTTGCCAGGAACATATCTGTCATATTTAATGAACAATATTTATAATTTAGCAAAACATCAATTCACATACCTGCAATTAGATGTTAATTATATTTCTAAGTCCTAATTTAGCAGTTCAGCAACTGAGTTTATATAAAAGTTTTATCTGCATAAACAGGTTGATTTATTATGAGAAGTGTCCATATGCACAATAGGAAGCCTGTGAACAACCTGAGGTAAATGTGATGGAACCAGATGGTGTAGGAGCAATATACATGTAAGCTCTAGAACTAATACACTTTCCCAAGTCAGTGTGATGCTTCCTGCTGTCTCTTCAACTGCAACTGTTTCAGACCATACTCTACTTTTAAGCCATATTCAGGCTTTAATAATGCACCAAACTCTAAGACCAGATTCTTGTTTCCTTCCCTTTCTTTACCTGTTTTCCTAACATTTATCCATTTGTAAAGTTAGATGAGAGGTAGGAAAAAAATAATACTATTAGGAGTCCTTTTTCCTCCAGCACTGTGTTTGGCACTGTTGCTGTGGGCTAGCTATATAGGTTTCAGAGAAAGTGAAACTGTTGTTAAAAATACATTATCTGCTTGCTTCAGAGTCTCAATGGTGATAAAGTACAGTATTTGAATCAGTTATGAAACGCATAGACAACTACTATTTACTCACATAATAAAGAGGCAATCTTAACTCCTGGTGATGCTCCCTTACCATTAAGAAACATCAGCGCTCAAATGTTTGCTAATTGTTTCACACAAGGGTTTGGGGATTAGTAAGTTTCTTATCAATGAGGGCGATGTTTGATTTTTAATCAATTACTTTCAGTCTGTTCATCCAGATATTCCTAAGTGTGTGAAAGAATATAAGAGAAATTGGTAAAAATTAGATAGGTCTCTGTTATTTACAAAACTTCCACATGATTTTTTAAAATAAAAATAAATAATCTGGAAATAAGTTATCACCGCTAAGAAGTTTGCATGTCATAGAAAGTATCATTGTATATTTGTAAGTACTTCCTTAACTAATTCTTTCTTATCTACAATCTTTGATATATATATATATTTTTCCAATTCAATTAATAATTTAGCACTTCCATTATTGTTTTTATTTTTATAGACAATGTTGAGGTGATTTTATCTACTTTTTATGGACAGTGGTCAGTAGATATTGTTCACTATCCACAAAACTTCTCAAGAAATAATTTACAGTCATTGCTCCCATTTCATCAAAATAGAATAAGCAGTTTTGTTAATGGGTCTCATGCCCATCTCTCTTTTAAATATCATTAATTACTTTTTTATTATAAAACCTAGCTTTTCTTTTAATTGTCAACTTCCTTAATTTTATATAGCTTTTCAAAATGTTAAATATTACTTTTTCTTCTTTAAATTTTTCTTAGCTTTTCCTTTACAGTACTCTAGGCTGGCTCTTTTCTTTTGTCATTGATTATAGTTTAATGTTTTTCCTTGGCACCAAGTATAGACATTGTTCTATTTTTTTTTCCTTTACTTCTTTTAGGAGAAAAGTTTCTCTGGATTCTTTACCATGGTTTCAATTACAATCACTATGTAAAGACATCCAGTCTCTCTGAACTTTGAAATTCACTCTTTCTGATAACTAGTTTATATTTCTTGCTTCTTTTTCAATCAGTCAATAACACTTTTAACAAGTTTAGGCTCAGGCTCAGTTCCTTTCTCTCCGAGGATTAGCTATTGTCTTTCCTCTTCCTCTCTGTTTTCAGCACGTACTCAACATATTGCCATTTCCTAATTGGCGGTCTTGCTTTAGTTGCTCTATAATTCAGTTCTATACACATTCGTTACAGTGAAACCAAAATTTTTTTAGACTCTGTCTAAGAATAAGAGGATTATGTAATATTAGAGGTCCAAAATACATTAAATACTGGCCAATACACTTACTTTCAAGGAAGAAATGAAGATATTTAATAGCTATTATAATAAAAATACACATTAGGGGCCTAGCCAGAGATAGAGGCCAGGTATCATAATTCTGGGCTAGTAATTTTTGTGACTCCAAGCTGGAAACTATATATTTCTAAAATATTCAAATGAAAGATTCTAAACGCAGCATTCTATAGCTGAACTTCCCAAAATATTGACTACTAGCTACACCTGGCTGTTGTGCAGGTAAAAAGTGTGTAGTCTGAATTGAGATATGCTATGAGTAGAAAATCATACCTAATTTAAAATATTTGGTACAAACAAAGGAATGTAAAATATCTCTAACAGTTTAAGAATATTGATTATCCACTTAAATAATAATAATTAAATATTAATATAGAGTCAAATATATCGCTTTTACCACTTGCTTCCTTTTACTTTTTAAAATGGTTTAAAATTTAAAATTTTATATTTAGCTTATATTTGTGGCACACAATATTTTTCTCTTGGACAGAGTTGTTCTAAAAACTCAATGAGTGAATACTTTATCTATCTTAAAGATCTCTCACAAGGGATTTTCACCCCAAGCAGACCAGCCTATCTCAACTCTTCAACATGCAATAGCTCGTGTTACTGTTATGTCTTTGCTCCTCTCGTCTTTGTTATTTAAAATATCCCTTCAAAAACATTTTCTCCCATCTCTGTATGCATTTATTTTCTTCAACTGAACTTTGCTGTTCTTCCCAACAGGAAGTGGAATCCATTTCTTTATTCTCTTGATGGCTTGTGACTTTCTTTGACAGAGTACAGAGAAAGAGAAGTTGTGGTAGTACTAAGCCTAAGCTTTGAGAAGCCTTACAGATGCCATTTTTACTTTCTTGGATTGCTGCCCTAAGTCTATCTGTGAGGATGCTCAGCCTATCTGATTAGACGATGAGAAACTGAGTAGAGCAGAGAGAAATCACCTCATCTGAGCCTCTCCACATCAATCATCTTATAGCAAGCCTCAAGAATCAAACATGAAACCAAAGGCATCAGCCTTTAGGCAGTCCTACAGATGTCTGAAGGAACATGAGTGACTCTAGTTGAAATCAGCAGAAGAACCATCCATCTGAACTTGACCCAAATGACTAACTTGCAGAATTATGAGCAAATTAAATGATCATTTCTCTTTGGGCTGGGTTTTTTTTTTTAATTCAGTAGCAGACAATTGATACCAATAATCTCTCTTTATACTTAAAACCCAGCACTTCATTTGAAGCAACTCCTATTGATAACTATCACACAGACTTTTCTAATTACCATAGACTTCCAAATGCTTTCCCTTTATTGAATTGAAATAATCTTTGAATATGTAATTTTTATAGTTATAATTTTAGAATTATTTTACAAATATAATCCTTGCCTTGATAACTATGTATTTTAGCTTGTTTCTGACAGAGAATGTGAGATTTATAACATAGCACTAGAGTTCACAGTTATGGCAGACATTGCAGCTATGGCTGCTGTCACTTGCCAGCATTACTGTATGTCAAGCACATATTTTAACTCTCATAACTCTATCGTATGAAAAGTAATTATTATACTCAAGGGGAACTGAGAAATAGAGAGGTTTATAACATGTCACACAGTGACACACAGTGAGAATCTAGAGCCAGGGTTTGATGCAGACCAATTATCTGATGCCCAGAACTCTTACTCTTAACCACTTCAGCCTAATGCCCTCTGTAAAACTACTGCATAGAAAATATTTTACTTAAGGAAGCCAATCTAGTCTAAAGGAAATAACTGACATTCTAACTTTCTAAGCAAACTTTTGCAGTCTTTTTCTAAGCAAACTTTTGCAGTCTTTTCTAAGCAAACTTTTGCAGTCTTTTTCTCCCTACTTTTCTTTGTCATCTTTTTGCATACTGGAAAACAAGCCTCATATTTAAGCCCCCAGCTTTTTTCAATCAATATTAGATTTTTGAGGGGAGCTCATACTCATAGCTTTAATTACTAAAGATAACAATACTTAACTCATTTATATTTCTTTTTTTTTTTGAGACGGAGTCTCGCTCTGTCACCCAGGCTGGAGTGCAGTGGTGTGATCTGCAAGCTCCGCCTACCGGGTTCACGCCATTCTCCTGCTTCAGCCTCCCGAGTAGCTGGGACTACAGGCACCCGCCACCACACCTGGCTAATTTGTGTGTGTGTGTGTGTGTGTGTATTTTTAGTAGAGACGGGGTTTCACCGTGCTAGCCAGGATGGTCTCGATCTCCTGACCTCATGATCTGCCCGCCTCAGCCTCCCAAAGTGCTGGGATTACAGGTGTGAGCCACCGCACCCTGCCTTTCTCATTTATCTTTCTTAATCAAGCTTCTCTGCATCCTATCATCTCGCCCACTAAATCAATCTCATACTCACCTGCTTCTGTCAGTTTTCATTACTATCAAATAAATGTGATCATTATCCTAGACCTGACTGCCTTATCTAAAGTGACCTCTTTAATCTACTGTTCATGCTGCAATGTATCTTTTTAAAAGTACAAAGTTAACCATGAAGATTGTAATACCTGATAAAACTCTTTCAAATACTTAGGTGTTTCTGCAAGTCCTGCAGACTGGCCACTATGTATTCTTCCAATCTCAATTGGTTGTTTCACCCATTATCTCCCTTCTCTGATTTCCATTCACATCGGACTTGCGTTTCTTCAAATAAGCCATGTGTCCCACCAATAGAGTGATTTTGAGCAAGCAACTACCTTTGCATTACACAAATTACTATAAAACAGATAAGGCCAAAATAAAAACATACCTAACTGTTGCCTATTTACCCTTATTCTAGCTGCAAATAGAATGAAAAGGTGACTGAAAGATGGTAGGTAAATTTGAAGAAGAGAATGGTTGTCCAGAAAAGGTTCATGGGCTTATTGTTGCACCCACTATCGATAAGTACTCCAAAACAAAAATGCTTTCCCCAAGAGACTCCGACAGCTGAGCAAAGACTAGAATAAGTGCAAATAGTTCCCCATTCTCTGGCCCAGTCTCCTCAAGCTATATTAGAAGAGGATAAAGACCATCAGCTCATAGTCTTCAAACTGGTGATTTTAAGTAATTGTACAAATAACATGTCATGATAGTAAAAGTAAGAAAGACAGTCCACCAATAAAATATCTGGGGGTAAAACAAAATAGAATTAGATTAAAAACATTCACTTACTCTCTGATTTGAAAAAACAGAAATATAATGATCACACAAAAATATTGCAAAATTAAAAAGTAATATAAAATATGAAAAAGACATGAACAATCCAACCTACAGAAAGACACACAATTTTTCACAATAAATATTTTATATTATCAGTAATATTAAAGGTTAAAAAGTAGAATATACGAGAATTTGAGGCCTATAAAATACAATATAAAAGAGATATAAAAGATTAAAAGTTGAAAAACAGTACAACTGGAGCAAAACTATTATAGAACTTAGAAATAAATAAATACTACAACAAAACAAAGGACACTAGACACAGCATGAGAATGAATTAATGATGTGGAGGAAAGGTCTGAGATAAACAGATAAATTAGGGAGAGGAAAAATTATGCAGATGAGAGGGATTAGAGTATAGCAGGAATGGTGACTAAAAGGGTGATTCAACATCACAGTGACTCATGTAAGCGAAGCATGGAATAAAATACAAACAAATTTTATATGTATATCATATATATCATATATATCTCATATATCATATATATCATATATGTCATATATGTCATATATATATGAGAATAAAAACCAAACTAGAGGAAACATTTTTATTATTTTTTTCTTTTTATTTTTATGTTTTTTTCTTTCTCTCTTCCTTCCTTCCCTCCCTCCCTTTCTTTCTTTCTCTTTTTCTTTCTTTCTTTCTTTCCTTTCTTTCTTTCCCTCCTTTCTTTCTTTCTCTTTCTTTTTCTTTCGTTCTTTTTCTTTCCTTCTTTCTTTCCTTCCTTCTCTCTCTCTTTCTCATTTTCCTTCCCTTCCCTTTGCTCCCCTTCCCCTTCCCTCCCCTTCCCTTCCCTTTCCTTTGCCTTTCCTATCCTCCCTTTCCCTTCCCTTCCTCCCTTCCTTCCTTACTTCTCCTTCCTTCCTTCCTTCCTTCCTTCCTTCCTTCCTTCCTTCCTTCCTTCTTCATTCCCTCCCTCCCTCCTCCCTCTCTCCTTCCTTCTTTCCTTTCTTCCTTCCTATGGAAAACAAAATCTGTTGATAGAAAGGAAATACAATGTTTCGGAAGAAAAGCACACAGAGAATCGGCAACATCAAGACGTATTCAGGTGAAGCTGTAGAGCTTTGAAATATTGGAACAGAATACAAGCTATCAGAGAGAGAAAAAGAAAAGCATGTTGATGACATGGGTAAATAAAGCAGGTTGACCTTAGACTTCTCCACAATTACATTTAAAGTTTGGAAATAGTGGAATCCTGTCTATATATTTTTGGAAAGTAGAAAGTATGCTTCAAGAAACTGATATTTAACCAACTTTAATTCATAAGGAAATATTCTAAAACATTTGGGTCCTCAGGTAAAATAAAATTCCTAAGAATTTATGTTTTATAAAGTAGAAGCGTTAATAAAGATATAGAATTTACACTGATTGTTTTATGCATAATGAAAAGCATGTTTCCAGATATTGCATAATGGAGTTTGTATGTTTGTTTTGTTCCCAACAAATGAGTTTCAAATGCACAATTTGCTTTTTCTTCAATAAATTCCTATCAGCACTGCTTTCAGCATTCTATCGAAGCAGAGATTTCCAAATACTCCTGGCTTCTAAACAACTAAAGCTAATTTTAATAAGCAGGTGTGCAAAGAGGGATTTACCTGTAACTGATAGACAAGCTCCGATGGTAAGGCTTGGAACCTGTTTCAAATTGGACAGTGTTTGACCTATTTTATAATTATAGTCCTTAGTCAGAAAAAACAGTCCCCAAATATCACATACTTCTATTAATATTTGAGATATATTTATTGGTAACATCCAAACCTGGCTATCTCATTTATAAGAGATATACTTGTCTGACTTTATTTGTAATTGAACATGTATAAGACAACCTTTGCATCAGAATTTTGACATGATTATTATTTCCTTTGTAGCAATATTTGAAAGAAACACAGTTATTTGGAAGAAACACATTTGTGTATTTTACTTAATATTCAGTTTGTTAATTTTATATTTTTTCCAAGGAAAGAAAAGTAAGAAATTTTATTTGAATGGCAAGTTGTAAGGAATGTCCAAGACCATAAAGAGAAATTTGTCTGATCTTCAGTGATACTTGTAAATTCCTAACACAGACATTTTTGAGAATTCCATTCCTAAGCATTAAATCACCTACTCAAAATCTCCACTTACATATCACAAAGATACATCAAGTTGAACATGTTAAACTGGAGTTATTATCTTCTTCTAAATCTTCTCCACATCTGTTGTTAAGTTTTTTAAGAAATAGCACCATGATTTACCCAGTTGCTCGAGCTTGAAGCCTCTGAGTCATGCATGATTTCTCCTACTCCATCAGCTCCAAATCTCACAGATTTGCCTATGACACTCCATCTTTATTGATACAACCATAGTCCAGGTATCGTCACACTCAATTTATTTTGGTAATCTTATAACATTTATTTCCTGCCCTTTCTTTGGTCCAGTCTGCACAGTGCAGAGAAAATAATCTTTTTAAAACATCAGATAATGCCACTTCTCTACTAGGCAAAAAT
This sequence comes from Homo sapiens, assembly GCF_000001405.40. Classification (NCBI taxonomy): domain Eukaryota; kingdom Metazoa; phylum Chordata; class Mammalia; order Primates; family Hominidae; genus Homo; species Homo sapiens. The sequence goes on from NC_000006.12 coordinate 102,410,200, forward strand.
ACTAGGCAGTGGATTCTCATTGTCCCAAGAAAAAAAGACAGTGTGTTTCAGATGATTTAGAAGACTTTGCCTGAAGAGAACCCACCAAGCTCTCTAGCAGTAGCTTGTGTTACTTTATCAATGTCATCTTCATTCTAATGATGGGATTTCATAGGTCCTTATATTCTTACTATTTCTATTTTGCATTTAGCTAATGCTATTTTCTATTCAGAATGCTCTTTTATTTGATTTATCCTTCATGTCTGAACTCATTTCTTTTTCCCAGAAGGATTCACAAAGTAGACTCTACTTTTTATTTATGGATAGGTACACTTTTTTTCAGTTCTCCTGTGCCTAAGTCTGTCTGATAATATTTTGGATTATTAAAATGTTTAAATCATATAAATTAAAAAATATATAATCTTCACCATAGTATAATATCTATGACAGCATGTAATGTGCCTATTTTTTATACCATTGAATTTCTACTTGTAGCATATTATTAAGAAATTGATATTTGCATGATTTTACTGAATTTGCTTGAAAATATTTCAGCATTATGAAGCTGTATGCCTGATCATTATATAAAAATTGTGTGATCTCTTAATTTCTAAGTCGGGATTTTACATAACTACTGGTATCATAATGTCATTTACACATTTCATATAATAATAAATTCCCTAAATAGTATATATCTGGCTTATTTTATAAATTATTGGCAGGTCAAACTAAGTTCTATTTGTAAAACAATGGCAATCAAATTTAAATTTAAAATAATTTAAATTTAATTTGATGTTGCAAATATTTATGATAGGACATTTTCAGAGGCAGAAATGTGCAAAGGGGGAGATAAAGAAAAGACCTATTACATATCTTCCCAACTCTCACAAATTACCACTGTTAACATTTTGCTTTATATATACTAATTATAGATTTTGAGTGTATGTAAGTGTTTCTTAGTAAATTTGTGTTAAATACTCAAGTGGGAGGTGATATTGTATAACCTCTTAAAAATTGTTGTTGTTTGATTCATTATTGTAATGTAAGAATTTCCTCTGATGTTGGTTTGTAGTTACTTCTAAAATACAGATTCTTATGGCTGCATTGTATAATATACAGATAAATTATATTTAATCATTTCATTATCACTGGATACCTAGCTTATTTTTAGGCTTTAATTGAATATGTTCGTATATAAATCTTATTGTATTTTTTAAATATCTGGCTTTAAAATAAGGTCCTAAGAATTGGATACCTGGATCAAAGAGTATGATATTATTTTTAAGGCAGCAGTTGATTTATAAATAAACTAAATTTATTATCATTAATTTCAAAGTTATTTTTATACAAAGTTTAAGTATTCTAAAAGAACATTAAGCACAACAGCAATATAATTCTTTATAGAATTAATATTGATAATTCTGTGATTGTACAAAAAAACTTTAATCATCACATTAAATACAGATAAAATTTTTGCTTAATTTTAATATCTCATCTGAAAGAGATGTAGTCCTTGCAGGTGGATCTACAATAACACACATAAAGATGCGGTATTTAATTATATTCAGTAAAGTATATGTGATTATCACTGTTGTCTACAATGTATAATAGCAAGTCTGACATATGATCAATGCTCCAATGAGTTTTGAAATGTTTCCTATATTGCACCAATGATCTAGAGTGTACATTTAAAATGAATATTTTCTAAATGGGTATGTTTAAAGCATGCAAATGTTTGAATTTTCAAAGGAAGCAAAATGTTCTCTCTTCCAATTCTTGAAATATATTCGTTGGTTTTTGCTCCAGCAACTGCAAAGTCAGGCATCTGTTACTGTTTGGTGTGGTGTTGAATTTCATGGTTAGTTAATTTTGCATTTCTGTCTACAAAGCTAATAAAAGGAAAATGGGTGAACCTTTTATATAGCAGAATTCAGAATATCCCTCGGGTAGTTTTTTCTTCATGGAATTCATTTCACATTTCTCTTTTAAGTGAATAAAAGAAGTTCCCGCTTTTTTAAGTTATCAAAAACTATTATGGGTTACTCAAACTTTAGACGTGTTGAAAATAATCAAGCTGTGGCTTCACACCATTAATTCCCCAATATTTGTTTCAGAGATTCTTTTATTATATTCCAGGCTGGGATAATATAAAATTTTACATAAAACACATCTTTATACTTTTCCAGTCCATGTGAGTATTGTCATACACCCTTTTTATTATTTGCAAAATACACAGCATAATAGTAGATAACTGGGTGAAGATAAATTCACTTAACACTATAAACATTTGAATTATCATTTAATATACACAACATTTGCTGATAATAGGCAGAGGCCCTGCAGTGCTAGGGACTGTAAATCCAAAGTTAAAGATCTCAGTGCTTAAAAATTGTAAGTCTAATGGAAAGAACTCTATATATTTTTCAAAAGTCTAGTAAACACTTGTAGAAGTTTTATACAAGTATACTGAATGAAGAGAAAGCACAATAAACACCAAACAATGCATCTGATCTGGGCTTTATGTAGTCTGGCAATTTCTGAAATTAGATACTGTATTAGATGGGATCCAGTAAGGAGGAGAAGGTACTATTTGTATTCCCAGTATGCAAGGTTGCACACAGGGAACTAGAAGCTTACCTGCTGTAAGAGTTGAGCAAAGGAAAGATCAAGGAAGCCACAAGCTGCTATCGAAGGGCTTATTCTGCTGCAACAAATCAACTGGTTTTACTAGAGGTCTTCCACAGCAGCTGTTCTGAATATCAAGAACCTACTGAAAGCTCCCCCATTACCATGGGCACCGATGATTCTGAGGAAGCCCCTGCCAGCCACCTTAGTAGCCACAGCACTAAAACAATTGCTTCACAAGAGCTTTCCTGGAGCTGTTTGAACATTCCCTAGGTCTACAACTGCCTCTCGAGGATAACAGTCCCCCTTTTTCTTCCACTTCACAAATACCTCACTAGTGCCTCTCATTCGCAGGCTGTATCCAGGAATCACACAAAAAGGGGATTGAGGCATTGTAATTTCCAAAAGCAGATGGTGTTGATATTAAATTTATAACTGTAATTCACACAGATAATAATGTTTTTGGATTTGGTATTTGTTAAGATTTTGTATGCAATAACATGCTTTTAATTATATTTTCTTAGCTAAGTAGTATAAATAAGATAGGTGGTTTTTTTTTTTTTTTTTTTTTTTTTTTTTCAGAGTTTTCCTCTTGTTGACCAAGCTGGAGTGCAATGGCGTGATCTTGGCTAACTGCAACATCTGCCTCCCGGGTTCAAGCAATTCTCTTGCTTCAGCCTCCCAAGTACCTGGGATCACAGGCATACGCCACCACGCCCAGCTAATTTTGCATTTTTAGCAGAGATGGGGTTTCTCCATATTGGTAAGGCTGGTCTCAGACTCCTGACCTCAGGTGATCTGCCTGCCTCAGCCTCCCAAAGTGCTGGGATTACAGGCGTGAGCCACTGTGCCTGGCCAAGACAGGATCTTAATAAATGTAAGTTAAATTAAGTGATAGAGTGGAGAAAAGCAATATTTAGAGGCTGTAACTTTAATATATTGCAATAATCCCAAATAAGTTAAACAAAGATGATTGATGTTATTATTAATAATTTCACTTGTTCTTCACAATGCAAACCACTTTCTTATGCTCTTTTGGAGTCACTAGGATAGGCATAAATGAGATTTCTTACAAATATATTTTGGATACGTTCATTTCTCTTCAATTCCACTATCCTAGTCTATACTACAATTGAGTCATCTCCGTTGAGTAACGAAATAGCCTCCTAGTTGGTCTTCCTGCAACCAATTGTTTCCACCACATCCTTTCAGCATGTTCTTCACATTAAAGTTAGAGTGATATTTTCAAGTAACAAATATGGATGATTTTCTATGCAGATATATAACCAATATTCTTAAGGAGATATACATGTAATTAGAAAAGTTCAGTTAAATATTTTTCAAAAATCTTCTGATATTGTTTTGTGAATTGTAGTTGGTTGCTTAATTTATCTGAACCTCTGACTCTATGTCTAAAATAAAGTTACTGTCTCGAAGATAAATAATAAGGATTAAAGGGTATAAGCACGAATAAACAGTCTGATAGATATTTGTCCAATAATTATTTTATTCTTTTCAAAAATATTATATATGCTAAAATATATCTTTAAAAGTTTACAATTAATGAATACCATAAACTAAAATAACAATATGAAGATATTTTTGCTTATTATAATTTTTTATGTTTATAGCTTTAGCAACAGACTATATATATTTAAAGTAGAAAATGTGTTAAGCTTTGACATATGCCCCAATAAATCATTAATAAAAGAAAAACATCAAACATCTCAATCCTTCTTCAACGATGCAACCTTCCATATTTTCTAATTACAAGGCAATCCTTGATCTGTTTTCTGGCACTATAGATTAGTTTGCAATTTCTAAAATTGTATATAAATATAATTAGCACAAGTTATTGAAAATGCTACCCATTTTCATTGCTATACTTTTTCCCTACTGTCAAAAATCAACTAACCATGTTTTTTTGTGGGTCTTTTTTCTGGATTCTCTATTCCGTTACATCAATCTTTGTGTCTATACTTTGCTAATACCATACTGTTTTGATTATTGTAACATTACAGTTTGTTTGATATTCACTTATGAGAGTCGCTTGACTATATTTTGCTTTCTCAAAAGGTTTTAGCAAGTTTAGTTCATACACCGTTAATTAGAAATTTGGGAATGGCTTGCTGATAAATAAAAAGGAAATCCTTAGTTGATTTTATTGTCATTGCATTTTATCTACAGAACAAAACATATTGCATTTATCTACTTATTTGGGGAGAGCTGACTTCTTCAATACTTTTAGTCTTCAATCCATGTATATGGTTTATTTCTCTATTTATTTGGGTCTTTGGTTTCTTGTTTTCAGTTCACAGATCCTGCACATATTTTGTTACTTATATCTCAGCATTTAGATTTTTGGCCTATCACTAATAGTGTTTTTAAAAATTTTCCTTTCCACTTGTCAGTGTTAGTATATAGAAATAAGATGTATTTATACATTTTTTTACATTGTATGCTATGAATTTACTAAACTCATTTACTAATTCAGGGCTTTTCTTTTGCAGATTATGTAGGATTTTCTAGGTTAGTATTGTCATCTGTAATGTGGGAAATTTTATTTCTTCCTTTCCAATATGCTTGTATTTATTTTCTTTGTTTTTTATCTTAATGCTCTGCTAAAACTTTCAACAAAATGTTAAGTACAGGTTCTGAGACAGAACATTCTAGCCTTCTTTCTGCCTGATCTTAGGGGTAAAATATTTCATCTATTACTGTAAAATATAACATTGACTATAGGTATGTTTCAGATACTTTTTGTCAGAATAAGAACATTTTATTCTATTCCATGTTTGCTGAGAAGTTTTATTTATTTATTTATTTAGCTTGTTGCTTTTTTGTTTATTTATTTATTTTGAGACAGGGTCTTGCTCTGTCATCTAGGCTGGAATGCAGTGGCAAGAACAAAGCTTACTGCAATCTTGACCTTCTGGGCTCAAGCGATCCTCCCACCTCAGCAGCATCCCATGTATCTGGGATTACAGGCATGTGTCACCTTGCCTGACTAATTTATATATATATTATATATGTGTGTGTGTGTGTGTATGTGTGTATATATACATATATATTTATATATACACACATATTTATTTATTTATTTATTTATATTTATATATATATTTGTAGAGACAATTTCTTGCCATGTTGTCCAGGCCCAGGCTGGTCTCCAACTCCTGAACTCAATAAATCCTCCCTCCTCAGCGTTCCAAAATGCTGGGATTACAGACAAAAGCTACCATACTCAGCTAAGAATTTTTAACTTGAATATATGCTGAATATTGTCTAATACTTTTTTATGCATTAAATACTGTGATTTAATTATGTGAATATTTAAAGTCTATTAAAATGACAAATTATATTACATTTTAAAATGAACTTAATTTTATCATAGTTTTAGATTTACAAAAGCATTGTGAGTTCTCATATGCTCCAAACTTGTTTTTCTGTATTGTTAACATATCACATTAGTATGCTAAATTTGTCACAGCTAATGAATCAATACTCATACATCATTACTAATTAAAGTTTGTACTTTTTCAAATTACCTTAGTTTTTACCTAAGGCCATTTTTGTGTTCTAGGATCCTATCCAGGATGCCACATTACATTTAATTATGTTAAATCTCAGCCTCATTTTGGCTGTAACAGTTTTTCACACTTTTCATATTTTTGATGACCTTGATGGTGGGGAAGAACACTGCTGAAGTGTTTTATGGAATGCCCCACAATTTGGATTTTTCTGATGTTTTCCTCATGATTAAATGGTATGAGGGATTTGGTAAAGAAGGCCACAGAGATAAAGTGCCATACTCAACATGTCACAACAAGGATACATGCTATCAATTTGACTTTTCATGTTTTATATTCTCCTTATTCCATTGGCTGAAATAGTATTTTTTCAGGTTTTTTTACTCTAAAATAACTCTCTCCTTCCCCCTTTTTAATATTGTACTCAAGAAGGAAATCACAATGCCCAGTCCACATTTAAGAGTGGAAAGTTATGACTCACCTCCTAGAGTGGGGAATATCTACATATTTTATTTAGAATTTTTCTGCTGTGTTTTGTAAATATTCTATCTTTTTAAAAAATTTTTCTGTAGTCATTTTTTATGTCAGTATGGGTTAATGGATATTTACTTTATAGCAACATATTAATATAAGGTAGTACAATCTAATACCATATTACATATATTGCTGTTCAAATTTCCCCAGATTTGTCCATTATTATCATTCATTTGGTCCTTGTATCCCTTTGGCATAATACTATGATTATGGGTTTTTGGGGGATGAGTGAGGGAGCAAGTTTTTGCTTACTGGCATGCTGCAAAATGCTCCAGACTTACCATGTATATTCTATATCACAGCCCTAAAATAAGTCATTTATCCAAGGAGCTTTGTTTTCTGTTATTGGAGAATGGTATTAAGGACCAATCAATATCTAACCACGGGGTGTTCTTGTTACCATTGGTTAATTTTTGACTTTAGCCCTACCTCCAGCATGCAGAAGCTGCCTTACAGGGAAGAGGTCAGACTATCTTTCCCATAAGCTCCCTGCCCTCCCTGCTCTTCATCAGGCAGGGCCCTATTGCTTAGGCCTGAAACACAGTTGCTCAACTCCTGGCTGATCGTTCTGATTGGCAATTCCTCGTCATTTCTCTTGGGTGGAGCCCTAGTCGACAAATAAAAAGCCTTCTGCCATTGCCACTACCAAAGTCCAAGTTCCTCTTCCCCCAAGCTGAGGAAGGAACAAAAAGCCTAAGCACACACCAGTGCTGTGGTTTGTGGCCCGGAAGTTCCAACCCCCAAGATCTGTTATCAGCACTTAAGTAAGAGATGAATCCAGACTCTCAGAGCACTGAGAGAAAGCAGAGTTGCAAATGCAAAGAAATACAAAGTAGCTGGGTGGTTAAGAGCCTGTCTAACAGCCATTACACTTAAATGCCATCTACTGGATTGCAGCCCAAGCTTCAACATCAAAAGTACTTTGTTATTTTATACTACCCTGTGAAACCAAGGCCAATAATTCAACCAAGAATAAAGACTGCAAATAACTTTGGCTCTCTCTAAGCATCCAGAAACAGAGCCAACTGACTACTCAAAAATTGCATGACAGTTAAAGGAAAGTCAGCTTACACAGATGAGAAAGAGCCAGCACAAGAACTCTAGTAACAATAAAAGCCAGAGTGTCTCTTTGACTACCAAATACAACACTAGGTCCCCAGCAGTGGTTCATAACCAGAATGTAGTGGTTCAAATGAGTGACACAGAAGTCAGAATCAGGATGACAATGAAGATCATTGGGATTTAGGAGAAAGTTGAATCTATTCCAAGGATTCTAAAGAATCCAGTTAAATAATTCAAGCAATGGAAGACAAAATAACGATTTTAAGAAATAATCCAACAAATCTAATATAGCTAAAAATCTCACTACAAGAATTTCATAACACAATTAAAATTATTGACAGGACTATAGATGAAGCAGAGGAAAAAAATCTCAGAGCTTGAAGGTCAGTTCTTTAACTCATTCAGACTAAAATAAAGAAAAAAATGATTTTAAAAAGGAAGAAAAACTCCCCCAAATATGAGATCATGTAAAGAGACCAAACCTATGACTCATTAGTGTCCCTGAAAGACAGGAAGAGAGAGTAAACAATTTGGAAAATATATTTAATAATACTGTCCATGAAAGTTTCACCAACCTCACTAGAGGTGTCGACATCCAAATACAGGAAATTCAGAGAACCCCTACAAGATACTATAGAAGATGATCATCTTCATAACAAATAGTCATCAGATTCTCCAGGCTCAATGCTAAAGAAAAAATCTTAAGGGAAGCTAGAGAGAAGGGATGCATCACCTACAGACGGAATTCCATCTTGCTAACAGTGGACCTTTCAGCAGAAACCTTAGAAGTCAGAAGAGGTTGAAGGCCCATGTTCAGCATCTCTAAAGAAAAGATATTCCAACCAAGAATTTTATCTCCAGACAAACTAAGCTTCATAAGCAAAGGAGAAATAAAATCCTTTTTAGATAAGCAAATGCTAAGGAAATTTATTACCACTAGACTTGCCTTACAAGAGTTTCATAAAGGAGTGCTAAATATGGAAAAGAAAGACCATTACCAGCCACCACAATATCCTACTTAGGTACATAGACCATTAGGACTAAGAAGCAACTACATAATCAATACCCCACTGACAGTATTAGACAGATCATCAAGGTAGAATAGTATCAAAGATATTTGGGACCTGGCTGGGCGCAGTGGCTTACGTTTATAATCCCAGCACTTTGGGAGGCCAAGGCAAGTGGATCACTTGAGAGATCAGGAGTTTAAGATCATCCTGGCCAACATGGCAATACCCTGTCTCTACTAAAAATACAAAACTTATCTGGACGTGGTGGCACACACCTATACTCCCAGCTACCTGGGAGGCTGAGGTAGAAGAATCGCTTGAACCTGTAGGGTTGAGGTTGCAGTGAGCCAAGATTATGCCATTGCACTCCATCCTGGGCAACAGAATGAGACACCATATATATATATATATATATACACACACACACATACACACACATATTTATATATATGTATATCTTATATATTTGTATATGTAAGTATATATGTATATATACTTATATCTTATATACATATATGAATGTACGTGTGTATATATATTTATATGTATATATTTGTGTATATATATTTATATGTATATATTTGTGTATATATTTATATGTATATATTTATATATGTATATATATTTATATATGTATATATATTTATATATGCATATATTTATATATATGTGTGTATATATATATACACACACACACATATATATGTATATATAAAAAGATATTTGGGACCTAAACTCTACACTTAATCAAATGATCAAATGGACTTAAGAATATGTATGAGCCAGGTACGGTGGCTAAAGCCTGTAGTCCCAGCACTTTGAAAGGCCAAGTTGGGCAGATCACTTGAGGTCAGGAGTTTGAGACCAGCCTGGCCAACATGGTGAAACCCGTCTCTACTAAAAATACAAAAAATTAGCTGGGCATGGTAGCGCGCATCTGTAATCCCAGCTACTCAGGAGGCTGAAGTAGGAGAATCACTTGAACCCAGGAGGTGAAGGTTGCAGTGAGCCGAGATTGCACCACTACACTCCAGCCTGTGCGACAGAGGAAGACTCCATCTAAGACAAACAAACAAACAAAAAAAACTGTGGAAAACTCCACTCAACAACAACAGAATATAAGTTCTGACTATCTGCCCATGGAATATGCTCTAAAATTGGCCACACACTTAGCTATAAAAAAACTCAACCAAGTTTAAAAAATTTGATATCATACGAAACACACTGACAGACCACAGTGCAACAAAAATGAAAATTAGTACCAAGAAGATCTCTCAAAACCGTGAAATTAAATGGAAATTAAACAATCTGGTCCTGAATGAATTTTGGGTGAACAATGAAATCAAGGCAGAAATCAAAAAATTGCTTGAAACTAATGAAAATAAAGATATGACATACCACAATCTCTTGCACACAGCTAAAGCGTTGTTAAGAAGAAAGTTTATAGCACTAAACATACACATCAACAAGTTAGGAAAATCTCAAATTAACAACCTAAAATCACATCCAGAGGAACTGGAAAAACAAAAGCAAACTAACCCAATAGCTAGCAGAAGAAAATAGATGTCCAAAATTAGAGCTGAACTAAATGAAATGAAAATGAGAAAAACAAACAGAAGATCAACAAAGGCAAAACTTTGTTATTTGAAAGAATAAATAAGATTGTTGCATTGGAGGTGGTGTTAGCTTGGTGGGTGCTAACTAGACTAATAAGGAAAGAGGAAAAGATACAAATTAACACAATCACAAATGACAAAGGGACCATTACCACCAACAATACAGAAATATAAAAATTTTACTGGGAGCTATTATGAACACTTCCATGCATACAAACTGGAAAACATAGAAGTAATAGATAAATTCCTAACAACATACAACCTCTCAAGATGAATCAGGAAGAAACTGAAAACCAAACAGACCAATAATGAGTTCAAAAAATGAATGAATTAAAAAAAAATCTTACCAACCTGAAAATGCCTTGGATCAGATGGATTCATAACCAAATTCTACCAGAAGACAAAAGAAGAGCTGATACCAATGCTATTGAAATGATTACAAAAAATCAAGGAGGCGGGATTCCTCCCTAACTCCTTCTATGAGGCCAGCATCATTCTGATACCAAAACCTGGAGAGGCACAGTAAAAAAAGAAATATTATAAAAAAGACACAATAAAAAAGAAAGCCAATATCTCTGATTAACATGGAAGCAAAAATCCTCAATAAAATACTTGTAAAACAAATCCAAAAGAACATCACAAAACTAATTCACATGAGTGCATAGGCATTATTCCTAGAATTAAAGTTTGGTTTAACATAAGCAAACTTATAAATGTGATTCATCACATAAATAGAATTATAAACAAAAACCAAAGGAAGATCTCAATAGAAACAGAAAAGGCTTTTGATAAAATCCAACATCCCTTCATGTGAAAACCCCTAAAGGACTAGGCATTAAAGAAACATACTTCAAAATACGAACAGCCATTTATGGTAGACCCACTGTCATACTGAATGGGCAAAAGCTAGAAGCATTCCCCATGAGAACTAGAACCAGACAAGGATGCCCATTCTCACCACTTCTATTTAACATAGTACTAGAAGACCAAGATGGAGCAATCTGGTAAGAGAAATAAATAAAAAGTACCCAAATAGGAAGAAAGGAAGTGAAACCATCTTTTTTTTGTAGATGATATGATTCTATACTTAGAAAACCATATAATTTCTACCCGGAATCCTACATTTGATAAACGACTTCAGCATGCTTTAGGATAAAGAATCAAGGTGCAAAAATCAGCAGCATCTATACACCAATAATGGCAAAGCTGAGAGCCAGATCAAGAACACAACCTCATTCACAATAGACACACACACACACACACACACACCTGGGAATACAGGTAACATGAGAGGTGAAAGATGTCTAAAATCAGAATTAAAAACACTGTTGAAAGAAATCAGAGATGGCACAAACAAATGGAGAAACTTTCCATGCTTATGGATAGTAAGAATCAATATTATTAAAATGGCTATATTGCCCAAAGCCATTCATAGATTCAATGCAATTCTATCAAAAATTACCAATGATATATTTACAGAATAAAAAAAAACTATTCTAAAATTTATTTGGAACCAAAAAAGAGCCCAAATAGCCAAATCAATATTAAGCAAAACCAGTAAAGCCAGAGGCATCACATTGCCCATATTCAAACTATGTTATAAGATTACATTAACCAAAGTAGTATGGTACTGTTACAAACAAACACCTAAACCAATGGAACACGATAGAGAATGCAGAAACAAAATTATGCAACTACAACTATCTGATCTTCAACAAAGCCAACAATAAAAATCAATGGAAAAAAATTCACTGTTCAATAAGTTGTGCTGGATAAATGGCTAGCCATATGCAGAAAATTGAAACTGGACCCCTAATTTTCACCATATACAAAAATAAAATCAACATGGAGTAAAGACTTAGTTGTAAAACCTAAAACTATAAAATCTCTAGAAGAAAACCTGGGAAATACCATTCTGGATATTGGCCGTGGCAAAGACTTTGTGATGAAGACATCGAAAGCAATTGCAACAGAAATAAAAATGGAGAAATGAGACCCAATTAAATAACTTCTGCAAAGCAAAAGAAAAAATCAAAAGTAAACAGACAACCCACAGAATGGGAGAAAATATTTGCAAACTATGTATCCCACGAAGAACAAATAACCCATAATCTATAAGGAACTTAAATTAACAAGCAAAAGACAAACAGCCCCATAAAAAAGGCAAAGGACATGAACAGATACTTCTTAAGGGAAGACATACACATAGGCACAAGCATAACAAAATGTTCTCAACATCATTAATCATTAGGGAAATTCAAATCAAAACCACAATGAGATACCATCTGACACCAGTCACAATGGCTATTACTAAAGAGCCAAAGAAACAGATGCTGGTGAGGTTGTGGAGAAAAGAAAACACTCATACACTGTTGGTGGGAATGTAAATTAGTCCAATCATTGTGGAAAGCATTATGGTGATTCCTCAAAGAGCTAAAGGCAGCACTACCATTCGAGTTAGTAATCCCATTACTGGGTATATACCCAAAGGAATATAAGTCGTTCTATTATAAAGACACACGCATGTGTATGTTCATTGCAACACTGTTCACAATAGCGAAGACACTGAATCATCCTATGGGTTGGCAATTACATTTGTGCCAATTTAATAAATGTCCGTCAGTGGTTGGCTAGATAAAGAAACTGTGGTACATATACACCATGGAATACTACACAGCCATAAAAAAGAATGAAATAATATCCTTTTCAGCAACATGGATGGAGCTGGAGGCCATTATCCTAAGTGAATTAATGCAGAAACATAAAACCAAATACTGTCTTTTCTCACTTATATTTGGTACAAATGAACACAAAGAAGGGAACAATAGACACCAAGGTCTACTTATGGGCAGAGGATGGGAGGAGAGTGAGGTTTTAAAAACTGTCGAGTAGTATGCAGATTACCTGAGTGACAAAATTAACTGACACAATTTACCCATGTAACAAACCTCTACATGAAACCCTTGAATCTAAAATAAAAGATGGAAAAAAGCAAAAAAAGAGAAATAGAAAAATAATTCTAAAATTGATATGGAATCAGAAAAAACCCAGAACAGCCAAAAACATCCTGAGCAAAAAGAACAAAACTAGAGGAAGTATGTTACTTGACTTCAAATTATACTACAGTGCAATAGTAACCAAACAGCATGGTACTGGCATAAAAGCAGACACAAAGACCAATGGAACAGAATAGAGAAGCCAGAAATAAATTCATAACAGTGAATTCATATAAACAGAAGTACCAAGAGACTTTATTGGGAAAAATACAGTCTCTTAAATAAATAGTGCAGGGAAAACTGAATACCCCATATGCAGAAGAATGATGTACATTCTGCATATTCCATATGCAGAAGAATGATGTACATTCTGCATATTCCATATGCAGAAGAATGAAACTAGACTTTCACCATGTACAAAAAAAAATCGAAATTAATTAAAGACTGAAATCTAAGACCTGCAACTACTAAACTATGAAAGACATTGCTCTGGGCAAAGATTTTTTGAGTAATACCCCAAAGCACAGGCAACCAAAGCAAAAATGGACAAATGGAATCACATCAAGGGTAAAAGATTCTACATAGCAAAGGAAACAATCAACAAAGTGAAGATACAACTCACAGAATGGGAAAAAAAAGTATTTGCAAACTATTTATCTGACAAGGGATTAATAATCAGAATCTATAAGAAGCTCAAACAACTTTATGTTAAAAAATCTAATAATCTAATTAATAAATAGGCAAAATATCTAAATAGACATTTCTCCAAGAATAATACAAATGGCAAACAGGTATATTCAAAGGTACCCAACAGCACTGAGTATCAGATAAATGCAAATTAAAACTACAATGAGATATCATCTCACCCCAGTTAAAACGGCTTTTATCCAGAAGACAGGCAATAATGTACCCCATAAATATATACACATAATATGTACCCATAAAAATTCAAAAAGAAATTAGATCACTTCTGTTGAAAGTTAACACAAATTTATTTCAGTACAGATGGCTTCTGAATTCACTGAGAAAATTACATAGCTTTTTTTCTTTATTTTTGAAATTTCATATCATGCATGAATTTGAGAAATAAATTCCATGGATCTTGATAGATTATCATTTTTACATATCATTTCTTTTCATAAATCTCCTGTTATATATTACATGAGTTTGTTTAGGAATTTACTATATTTACCCATGAGATAAGTATATGTACATATAGATATTTGACTTTTGTCTTTTTATAATGTCTGTCAGATTTTAGTTTCAAGGTTATGATGGATTTATAAAATACCTTGCAAATTTTTTTTTAATTTTCTTTTATTACCTGGGAAGTTGGGGGTAAGATTGGTGTTATTTCTTTTTTCAATGATTGAAATAATTCAATGGTGAATTTACTTTGCTGGTGATTTTTTTATGAATAAAGCTTAATAATGGATTAAATTATCTTAATTTTGTAATTGCATATTTTCATGATTTCTGTAAATTTTATAACATTGTATTTTGAAGCAATTTTTCATTTTAAGTTTGTTGACAAATTTATCATAAGCATAGGTTCATAATATTCATAATATTATTAATTTTGTATATTTGTAGGCTGTGTTGTGGCTTTTATACTGAAAGTAAGAATTATTTTAACAATTTCATTGATTTTAGAGTAATCTACCCAGGGATTTATCAATTTTTTAAATGTATTCAAGAAACAACTCATGCCTTTGTTGATATGCTATATTTAAATATTTAATTGATTCACTATTTTATATTTATATATTTTTTATTTTGCTGTTTTTATATTATTACTTATTTTTATGTTTTATCTACAATTTTACTAATCATCAAGATTACTAGAAGATTTGCAGCTTTTCTTTCTTCGTATATATATATATTGAAGCCTGTATTTTTTATTTATTTATTTTTATTTTTATTTTTGAGATTGAGTCTCACTCTGTCACCAGACTGGAGTGCAGTGGTACCATCTCAGCTAACTGCAACCTCTACCTCCCAGGTTCAAGTGATTCTCCTGCCTCAGCCTCCCGAGTAGCTGGAACTACAGGCGTGCACCACCATGCCCAGCTAATTTTTGTGTTTTTAGTAGAGATGGGGTTTCACCATGTTGGTCAGGATGGTCTCGATCTCTTGACCTTGTGATCTGCCCACTTCAGCCTCCCAAAGTGGTGGGATTACAGACATGAGCCACCACGCCTTGCCTTAAGCCCGTATTTTAATAAATAAATATATAATATAATATAAAAGCCCAGAAAGGTAGTATGCTTTCTGAAAATAGTCATATCTATCTATGCATCTAACTATAAATCTGTTTAATTTTACAGTAATTATACTGAAATACATTAAAGTTAATTGGAATACAGGCATTATTTTTTAGAAAAAATATATGACAAGTGTACCAAGTTTCTTAAAGAGAATTGATTTTCTCTTTATTTCCCTTATATTTCATATTGTCCTTATGTTTCAAGGTTAATAATACTTGAGCTCCATGTTATGCTAACCTCTGAGAACATGACCCAGGAATTACATAATGAATTTTATGTTTGGGGAAGCTCATATGTCTGAACCATTTCAATGTAATATGATATATTAAAGATCTCTGGTCATATATAAAAATAACTATGCCATCTGTAACTTAATATTTCTCTATACTAATGCTAAAATGTAAAAGTGGTAGTCGTTTGGACCATTTAAAAAAATAAACTCCAGATGTTGTAGTGGGTTAAGACCATCATCAGTTTCAGATTTTTCACTGTAATTGTACCTGTGATTCTTCCCTTTTAAAATTGGCTGGGGCCGGGTGCGGTGGCTCACACCTGTAATCCCACCACTTTGGGAGGCCAAGGCGGGAGGATCACGAGGTCAGGAGATCGAGACCATCCTGGCTAACATGGTGAAACCCCGTCTCTACTAAAAATACAAAAAACAATTAGCCAGGCGTGGTGGCAGGCGCCTGTAGTCCCAGCTACTCCAGAGGCTGAGGCAGGAGAATGGTGTGAACTCGGGAGGCGGAGCTTGCAGTGAGTGGAGATTGCGCCACTGCACTGGAGCCTGGGCAACAGAGCGAGACTCCCTCTCAAAAACAAACAAAAAATAAAAATAAAAAAAAAGTTGGCTGGATACTTTAGAACACTTCCACAGGAAGCATCCCTGATGATTAACAGATTGCTTTACAGAGAACAAAAGTAAATGTGACTTAGGAGGAACTAAGCATTTTATTAAAAATACACTTGGTATAAAAGAGATGTATAGTAAGACACTATTGACAAAAATAATACATCTGCAAACAATTGTACAGAATTTATCTTCACAGTGCCAAACTACTTTAGAGTCTAGATAGTCAATTTGACTATCTAGATATATAGCCTAAATAGTCCAGTTGACTAGAAGGATATATATCATTCCAATATATATAGATCTAGATCTAGATGTAGATCTAGGTATATATGCTTCTAATATATATAGATAAAGATATAGTCAACTAGACTAACTAGACTATATATCTAGGTAAAGGAAATACCTCCTTCCAATATTCCTTTACTTAAAATTAACATGATAAAACTATGAATTTTCAAATCTACTTTTATATGTTGTCCTTTCTACCAAGGAAAGATTCATTTACATATAGCATTTTAGTTGATTTTAGAAACCAGTATTTTTGTTACAATTTTATATTATTACTGTTATAATGACTTAGGTCTATTCCATTAATAATTTATAAAATGATACTTCTTATAGGTTACAATGTGACATGCCTGTGCCCCCACCCCCAAATTTTACAATCTGTGGTAATTTAATTGTTAAAAAGCAACAGCAATATCTACATTTACATCTAACAAGGAGGAGGCATGTGAAAGTGCATGCATGCATATATAACATGTACTTAGATTTATATATGCAAATTTTAGTAATTAGTTTTCCAGTGGATATTCTTTCTAAATTGCATTTTTGTTTTTATTTTCAACACAAGTCAAAGTATATTTTAAAATATTTTTGTTTCCAGGCAAAACAAAATTGGTAAGATTTATGTTGCTTTTGTCCATGTTTGTGATGTCATGCCATTATTCCATCAAAAGCTCTGATTTCTATCAAGATGTAAAAGTGAGTGAACCAACATATGGATGCTTATGAATACAGATACATTAAAAGGACTAGATGCATCCCTAGTAAATGGTTTCTTGTGTTACTAATAGAGCATTAGCATAAGAACCTTCAAATCACTAGATCATGTTGATGCTCTCAAATAACTTGCAATATCTTTCCACATAAACACACTATACAGTATATAATTCTGTATGTTGTACTATATACTATTGTAAACAGTATAATTAAATTGCATCATAGACAAATCAAACTACTCTATTTCAAGAAATTATTAAAAAGTTTTCATAACCAAAACAGTATGGTATTGGCAAAAGAATGAACAAATACATCAATGAGTAAAAGTAGAGCATCCAGAGTTGGACCCCCACAGACAACTAATTTTATACAGAGTGCCAAAGTAATTCAGTATAGTACAGGTACTCTCCATGATGAAGCAGGCTTTATTCCTGAGATGCAAGGTTTGTTCAACATATGCAAATCAATAAATGTGATTTACCATCTTATCAGAATTAAAAAATGATCACCTCAATGGATGCAGAAAAAGCTTTCAATAAAATCCATCATTATTTCATGATAAAAACTCTCAACAGACTAGGCATTGAAGGAATATACTTCAAAACAATAACAGCCTTCCATGGGAAACCCACAGCCAACATTATACTGAACAGGCAAAAGTTGGAAGCCTTTTACTTAAGACAAGGAACAAGACAAGGATGCCCAATCTCACCACTCCTATTCAACATAGTACTAGAAGTCCTAGCCAGAGCAACCAGGCAAGTGGAAGACATAAAAAGTATGCAAATAGAACAAGAAGCCAAATTATCTCTCTTCACTGATGATATAGTTCTGCATATAGAAAACCCTGAAGACTGCATCAAAAGGCTCCTAGAACTTCAGGAAATTTCAAGACACAAAATCAATGTACAAAAATCAGTAGCGTTTCTATACTCTAATGATGTTCAAGCTAAGAACCAAATCAAGAATGCAATCCCACTGATAATAGCCACACAAAAGCAATCCTAGGAATAGAGCTAACCAAGGAGGCAAGATCTTTGCAAATAGAACTACAATGCACTGCTGAAAGAAATCATAGATAATGCAAACAAATAGAAAAACTTTCCATGCTCAAAGACTGGAAAAATAAATATCATTAAAATGACCATACCATCCAAAGACATTTACAGATTTAATGCTATTCCTCACAAACTACAAACATCAATTAGAAAAAAAAAAAAACTATTTAAAATTTATCTGGAACAAAAAAAGAGCCCAAGTTGCTAAAGCAATCCTAAAAGAAGAACAAAGCTGGAAGAATCATACTACCCGGCTTCAAGCTATACTGTTAGGCTATAGCAACCAAAACAGCTTGCTACTGGTACAGAAAAAGACATCTAGACAAATGGAACAGAGTAAAAAACACAGAAATAAAGCACCACATCTGCAACCATTTAATCTTCCACAAAATTAACAAAAATAAGCAATGGGAAAAGCACCACTTATTCAATAAATGGTGCCTGGATAACTGGTTTAGCCATATGCAAGAGAATAAAACTGGACCCTTACCTTTCACTACACACAAAAATTAATTCAAAATTGATTAAGAATTTAAGTGT
Organism: Homo sapiens; assembly: GCF_000001405.40. Taxonomy (NCBI): domain Eukaryota; kingdom Metazoa; phylum Chordata; class Mammalia; order Primates; family Hominidae; genus Homo; species Homo sapiens. Next base: position 102,429,272 of record NC_000006.12, read on the forward strand.
GAGACCTCAAACTACAAAAATTCTAGAAGAAAACCTAAGAAATGCCATCTAAACATTGGCCTTGGCAAAGAATTCCTAAGTCCCCAAATAGCAATTACGACAACAAAAAATGGACAATTGGGACCTAATTAAAGTAAATATTTTCTTCACAGCAAAGAAACTATAAACAGAATAAACAGACAACCTACATAATGGGATAAAATATTTGCAAAGTATTCATCTAACAAAGGTCTGATGTCCGGAATCTATAAGGAACTTAAATCAACAAGCAAAGAACTCTATTAAAAAGTAGGCAAAAGTCGTGAACAGACATTTCTCAAAAAAAGATACATAAGCATTCTACAAACTTATGAAAAAGTGCTCAACATCATTAATCATCAGTGAAATGCACATTAAAACCACAATGAGATACCATCTCACATTAGTCAGAATGGCTATTATTACAAATTTAAAAAATAACGGATGCTGGAGAGGCTGTGAAACCACATTCTATTGATTATTTGTTAGACTTAGAAAGGTTACTAAAATGACAAACTATATAACGTGAGAAGTCTATATGCAGTTTTTGTGACTAGTTATAGAATAAATATGTAACGATAAATTGATGACATAAAATAGCTGCTTTATTGTCAGTTTTATGCAGGACAAAATATTATAAGCAAGAATAGCAAAGCCTAAAATGAAAGCCTAGGTTTTGAGAGAAAGTTTAAAGATTGCCTTAAGAGATGATCTGACAAATTATGGCAGCTATGATAAAACGTATTTGTAGAATACTTCAAATACTTCCTGTGATGCCATATCATTTCTCAGTTAGTTCTTTCTTTTGCTCACATCCCTTTCAACAGAATCTCAACTTTCTTTCCATTTCTGTTTCTATGAAATAGTATCGTGACAAATGCAGATTTTCTTTTGCTGTTATGTTATTGAGGATACTTGGAACCTACCATTAAAAGGTTAAATATGTGTACACTGAATTGTTCCTACATCATACTATAATCTTATACTAGCAATTTTTAAGGATACAATATGTGTGGATGATAATGTGTTTAATTATGTAAATATTAATAAGATTCACATTATATTTATACTTTGCTATTTTCAGACATTTTGGGTGTATGTACAAAGTCTTTTACATAAAGAAAAAGTTAATATCTCGGATTTGTTACCTAGCAGCTCTCCAAAACTTTTGCATGCAATAATGTAGCATTCTCTAGTAATAGTACTGTAATTTTTCCATATAATATAAAATTTATTTGTTTTAAAGTAATGCTCAGACACACACACAAACTCATATGTTCACTTACACATATCCAAAGTCACCAAACATAAAATCAGGTTATTTTAGTTGACATATTCAGGTAAGAACATCTCAGAGGTGAAAAATAACAATTTTATTCATTAAAATGCTTTGCACTATTCTCATCTTTTATTTTTAATATAAAATAACAGTAGAAACTTCTTAAAATTACTTATTTTAGGCTGTTGTTTCTAAAGAAGGGAGGCAGTTGTTTGATTTCCTTTGATTTATACCTTGAGCCACAATGCAAGATTCCAAAGAGACATAAAAGTGTTTACCTGACTAGTAAGAGATATAAGCTAGAAATGTTTAACATTTCTAGCTCTTTATCTCTGACTAATTTCCAGCTCTACATAATTTCTGCTTTTAACATGAAAGAAAAATCATTTCCTGAAAGGCAGGAATATTACTCTTGAAATATAAAACCAGCCATAAAAATAATAATACTAACTAAAGCAGCATCAAGTGTCAAAAATCAAGAAATCACATGTGAAATGCAAAATGGAATTGCCACGAAAGGGAAAAATTATTATATGTGAGAAAGTTAAATGTTGATTAAGCATATTTAATCCATATGAAAAATTGATATAATTATTTAAACTCATTTTCCAGTAAAATAATCTGCTGATTGTAATAATCATATTAGTATGTGTACACTTTTACTGCTAAAAAGCTCCATCTTATTCCATTGAGGAAAGTAAGAAATAACAAGCTGACAAAAACATGAAGATTCTAATGAGGAGACACATAGACCAAGCACATGCACAAAAACTCACAATTTTAACAATGGGATTTTCTGTTTCCAGTTAAGCAGTACCAGTCATTCATCTGAAGGTGACTTTCCCAAATTATCAAATATATTTTTAAACTCTGCAATCTCTTAATACTGCATTTTATGAACATTTACAGATTCTTTTCCAAGTTAGCGTTTATCTCAGAGAAACATATTTTGCCCTCTAGACAAAAAATAAAATAAAATGAAATTCACACAGCATTAAGCAGAGTTTTTTATAATCAAAAAATATTATATATTTCTAGAAACTATTGCAGGTACCATTTACTCATAGGTGTTCTTCTCTTTTTTTTTTTTTTTTTTAGTTAACTTTATCTGAAAGGTCAATGAATCACTCCCTTCTCTAATACACTTCCCCTTCTTTTGCCCTTGATCTTTTTGATCCAGGATTGGCAGATGTGGAGCCCTGAGGCAAAGCCATTGACAGAGAATCCCACAGAGCTTAAGATGCATACATTCTATTTTTGGAATGTTACACTCACCAATAAGGACATTTACTTTGGCAACTGAGACCTGCATACATTGAGTTCAACCTGGAATAATGTGGGAGAGATTTCCTATTCATTTTTCAGGGAGGCATGATTCCCCATCTGTCTCGTCCAGTTTCCTGGTTGGGTTTTCTTGGTTTACCGGCAGCATTCAGTGCCTGCTGTTGCCACTTTCTAGAAGCCACCAGTGCTTTGTTTCTTTTATCCGTCTAGAATGGTATCTGTACAAGATGTTTTTAGTTCATTTTTAATTATACTTTCTTACAGAGGTTATGATTAGGTTTCAAATAGGATGTCTAACCCCCTAACAGTGATATATTCTTTGCCTTTGCATACATAAAACAGACTATCCTTTTAGAGAACTCTTTCACTACTTCCCTCAGTCTCCATAAATGCCTGTATTGTTTTTGCAATGAGGGAAGTAAATCCTTTATTTTTTTTTTTTTCTGGTCATCGTCCTTTTATTTCTTAGCTTCTCCTTATTTCTGTCATGTTTCAATTCTTCAAATAATTGGGCCTTAACCAAGGCTAATCCATTTAGAAGTCTAAGTCCACTTCACTTTAGTTCTGTGGCTCTCTATGTTCTGACACTTCCTCTGGGAAAAATTCCTTTCAACCATGTATAAGATTTCTTCTTTACTAAGTTATATATAAATATATAAATATATATTATGATTATGTATATTATGATTTTATATATATAATCATATGCTTTTCAAGGTTCAGTAGAGTCCCTCAAATTTCTTCTCAAAGAAACAAATATTAGAAGATGTTTTCAATATTCCTGTGTTAATCACTGCTCAATCAGTGTCAATTAAACACCATCTTTGCCCAGTACAGTCACACAGAATAGCTTAAGCTTGGATCACAGCATGCATCTCTGAAGATCAGGTGACAAGCAAGCCTTCAAATATTGCCAAGTCCCAAGATATCTTCATTTCTACACATCTTTGGCCAACTTACTTCAAAAACCTAAAGGACTGTACCTAGACTCTGAAACTATGAAATATAAAATTCAAAAAGTCTACTTAAAGTCCGGGCCTGATGGCTCAGGCCTGTAATCCCAGCACTTTGGGAGGCCGAAGTGGTTGGATCACCTGAGGTCAGGAGTTTGAGACCAGCCTGGCCAACATGACGAAAACCCATCTCTACTAAAAATACAAAAATTAACCGGGAATGGTGGTGTGTGCCTGTAATCTCAGCTATCCAGCAGGCTGAGGCAGGATAATTGCTTGAACCCAGGCTGTGGAGGTTGCAGTGAGCCGAGATCGTGCAATTCTGCTCCATCCTGGGAAACAGAGCGAGACACCATCTCAAAAAAAAAAAAAAAAGTCTACTTAAATACTCTTCAATTTATCAGCGTGACAGAGACTCCGATCCATCCCATCTAGGATATAACCTGTCAGGGACATTAGTGCAAGAACTAAAAGCTTGCTTGTAGAATCATGTTATATATATACATACATATATATGTGTGTATATATATGTATGTTTATATAGATACATATTTTCCCCCTTTAATTGTCTCTCCAAATGGTAGTCAGGAACTCATGGTCTCTCCTTCTGTACTTTTTTGTTAGGAGGTTATGGCAAGTCATGGAATAGATACACAAGTAGCTAAGGTTTAGACCACGATGGAGGTACTCAAAGTTAAGACCTATCTGCTTGGCAAGATTTCTCTAAACTTACATACAATATTTTCACACATTATATACTGTAAACCTAACATTCTGGAAAAACTTTGAGCATGTTCAATTTCAGATGGTAAAGGTTGGCAAAGCAACTTTATGATCCATGCTCATACTATTATATTTTATTTTACCTCAAGATAGAGATGATCCTTGTTTATTGCTCTTAGACACTTATACAACAAATATTGATGTTCATTGGTATCAAGGAGTATGAGTTGATATCAATTGTTGATATAAATTATATCAATGATAATGAGTAAGCTCATTCCAAGTGTAAGGCACTGTAAGTGATATTAATTTGCATGTGATGTGGACTCAATATTCAAGGAGCACACAGCCTAATAAGGTAAATCATTATTGTAATACAAGGTAAAATAATAAAGAATTGCAAATATAGTGCTGTGGGATTTCAAGTGAGCAGGAATTCCTTCTAGTGTCACTAATATCAATACAATCTCACTTCTTGGGCTTTTAGAAATCACAAATCTGTCTACTAGTTGGCTAATTACAATATTCAGTGTGATTTTGCTTTCCAGAATTAAAAAAATAAGTTACTGAGTTCTAACAGCAATGGAAATTTTATACAAACTTTACCTAGAACACTTTAGCTGTCTCCTCAAATAATGAGATCGCATTTCTAGATAAGAAGATATGAATGGAGTAATTGTAAGGTTTACTCTAATGATGTGTTTGTATGCATGTGTCTGTGTACATGTGTAGTTTTTTTCATTGTTTTGTTTCCTTTTTTGAGGAGAAGATAGGGGACCAAGAGAGTCCACTGGCAAAAATCTAAGAATGTATATAGCAAAGTCACAAACTAAGAAAACAAAAAATGATACCACTATTGTTGCATGACATGTAAATTAAACTTCTCCCTGGAATGACACTCGAGTTTTTCTCCTTCGAACAATTTCAGAGGACATTACATGTTTCTTCAACTTATTGTTTTCTTGGTAGCCACTAAGTGAGATGGTTGCAGACAGATGCTATTATTCTTATTGTAGAAAATGCAGTGTGGGGTGTTACGCTAAAACTCTGATCGCTTTCCTTTTCTCTCCTGGTTAGGAGTTAGTCACATAACATGGATCCATGTGTAGCACCTTTACCTTTCGTCTAGATTTCCTTATGCTCCTTTGCAAGAATGAAGAAGGGGACACATGCCAACCACATATATGGATTTCACAAGTGCTGTCACTTTTTCAGTTTATAAAGAAATGTTAGGCAATAGTAATGTCAAAGAAATGAATGCATTGACAGATTTCCTAGGTATAGCATGTTCAACTGGTAGAGAAGAGATGATGGCTGACAAGTATGTAGACATTTTTCTTGGAATTGAAGATATTCTCAGGCCTCTAAAGCATTTATAAAATAGATGAGGCCCAAATCCAATGGTATGTGAAAATTCTTCACTTATTTAAGAGAACCCAAGTCATCAGTACAATAAAATAAAGAAGGCTTTTTCTTTACCAAAGAAGATAAAAGGGGATCAAAGACGGTGATATTAATTAAAAACATGTTGAAGTTTAGTCCATAGATATTAGAATTAGATATCTAAAAGCCCATACCTGGTTTTTAGAAATTGCTGAGAAAACAAAACCACAGGCACAAGAAGGCGGAAGGGGCCTGATACAGTAAGAGTAGGCAATACAAGATGAATTTATGATAAACATGGTGAATTGGTTGGGATATGTCTGTCTCAAGGGACTAATGTAAGACTCAAACTTATAGGAAAAGCAAGTATAAACAGATTTACAAAATTTAATTTTGTTTTTTAGAACTGCAGGGTCTTAGCAAGGCTTTTAGCCTCCTACAGTGACCTAGTCAGAGAGCGTGGAGTTGAGGAAAGTTAAAAGGCTTTGATGATTCATTGTATTGAACTTTAGAAAATATAAGAAAATGTTGAAGTAAAAGTTTAGGCTGGAAGTTCAGCCTCTGATGGCCCAGGTGTGTAAGTCGTACACATTTAAGAAAATATTTATTTTTTCACATTGCTAGAAAGTTATTATCATCAATAAAGTTTTCCAAACCAAACAGCTGAGAGGGCAGTGATTTTTCCCTCTGAGAGATAAGCAATAAAATATGTACTCTTACAGAATAAAGAACACGTCTAAGTGTTGACGGTAGTCTAAATAAAATTATTAATAGCTAAAAGAAGGAAAGAGTCCATCAGAGCCAGTGCTGGCACAGACAAGGGGAGGTTGGAAAATAAATAAATACATACATACACAAAGCGGTATTTCTTTTTTTTTTTTCTTTTTTTTTTTTTTGAGTCGGAATCTCACTCTGTCGCCCAGGCTGGAGTGCAATGGCGCGATCTCATTCTCCTGCCTCAGCTTCCCGAGTAGCTGGGACTACAGGCGCCCTCTACCACGTCCGGCTAATTTTTTGTATTTTTAGTAGAGACGGAGTTTCACTGTTAGCCAGGATGGTCTTGATCTCCTGACCTCATGATCTGCCCGCCTCAGCCTCCCAAAGTGCTGGAATTACAGGCGTGAACCACTGCGCCCAGCTATAAAGCAACATTTCTTAAAGCTCTGGCTAGAGTGGAGGATGTCCTAAATATGAATGTGGGGCCCTTTTAGCAGCCTATACTAACTAGTAGTTGACATAGATGACAGTAGGTGTTAACATTATATTATAGCCATTGCTCTGCTTCCAAGTTCACTAAGAAGTCTTACAATTAAAATTTGCCTTCTTATATGGATTCGTCCACAAGGAGAAAATAAGCAAATTGGTAAATGCATATTCAATTCACTTGTTCATTGTATTTAACTGCATATAAATTCATTGTCATTATTAGCATTTTTATCAGTCTCTTTGTGTTTTGTTAATGTAAATGAGCACCCACTTCAAATTCTGATTATCTCTAAAGTAATAATAGCAGAAATCCGGAGACTTCAGGAGTGAGGCCCAGTTGGTGGAATGTAATAACCCGATTCGCACTAAGGTATCGTCATAGGATTGGGCTGGCCCAGGTGTGTAGCCTGCTTCTTGTAGGTGATGCTTCCCTCTCTTGGTTAAGCACGAACTTCAAATAACACTGTGGCTCTAAAACTTAGTTATCACAAAGATTGGTTAGGTAAAATGTCATGCAATAAGCAGTTATAAAAATGTCTATATTCAAGAGGAAAAAGTTGAAGTACTAAAGATTCCAGTGGTTTACAAAAATAATACTGGAGATAGTCAAGAGAGCCCAAGAAAACAGGCTACATTTGACTAATTCTATGAATCATTCTCTCTCCAAATGTCAACTATGCTTTAAATTGATGCTAATATAATTATTTAATTTATCTTTAAACATTATTTTAAATGATGTTTAAAGAAAAATGTTACAATTTATCATCAAGCCATTATTACTTGCCAGACAATTGGGCAATTTAAGAATTAATATAGTTAATAGAAGTTGAATAATACCTATGAAAATATTTATTTAAAATGAGCTGTATATATAAGTATACTGGAAAGAATTTACAGAAGATGTGAAGAAGAATGGACAATAGGCTTTCTTAAGATGCTCCTTGGGGACCCTATAGGAAACATTTAAGCTCTTTGAGATTATTTATATAACCTATAAAATGGCATGCAACCTTAGCTTCTTGAAAGTAAAGTGCTAAATTATAATGTAAATTCCTTTATAATTAAATTATAAAATGTTATGAATATATAGTGGAAATCCAAGTTTAAAGTTGAGAAGAATCAGGACAATAAAACATTTATATTATATATAAGATTATGCAAAATTATGTTTTATTGGAAATGCTTTCGATTCCAAATTATTTAATTGCCTTAGATTTCTATTTTAACCTGTATTGGGTAAACCCAGCCAAATCATAAAACATTTAAATCTTCCTACCTCTCAGGAGAAAATATGATGATTTTGGAAGCATATTCAGATTTAACAATATAACCTTGAAGCATTAATCTGCTTACATATTATAAACAATTTTCCTAATGTTGTCACTAAGAATGGGAAATACAAAAAATTAGAGATTTCTTCACAGGAATAAACAATAGGCCAAAAACTTAAAAAGAGAAAACTAAAGTGAGATAAAGACATGCAAAGTACTAGTAATAAAAGCCAGTTAAACACTGGATGCAATAGCTAAGAGCATGAATTCAAAGGGGAAGTTAACATGCCAAAAAGCAATAAAAAATTAAATAATAATAGCAGTAAATTAAAATAAGTCCAAACAGACTGATCATGAAAAATCAGGGTTCCTAGAAGTTGTGGTAATCACAAGGGTTAAAAGCTAGATGAAGAGACAGAAATATGAAAGAGATATGTAGTAAGAAGTAAGGAAAAGTGAATTATCTAGAGTCCAGTAAATCAGGAGCCAGAAGATGCACAGTGTCCAAGGAGTAGGACAGAATTTAGTCTATATTGAGATAAGATATTTGGGAAGAACACTGATTAATAAACCAGGTAGGTGACTTTGGGCATTTCAACGCTTCACCTAAGGGAAGGTGCTATTAATATTCTTTGTAATTCTAAGGACTGGGCATTCTGAGCTTGGCCTTAATTTCATTTAACTGGTATCTGCACAGGCATACACATAGGTGTAATTATGGCTGTAATTTATCTTTAAATTTGACATATACTTTAAAAATATCTATACATATAAAGCTGAAATAGTATTCACTTTCTCATTTTTTTAATATATATATAATTGGTGTAGGTCATTATTACAGCATTTGAATAAAAGAATACTTCCCATAATATTTAAACCTGGTTGTCATTCAGATCATCTGGCATGCATGTCCTTTGGCCCATCTGTTAGGTTGTCGTGATGCCATACTGAGGAAGTGGCAAGCTAGTTTCAAGTAGACATAAATGCCAACCAAAGATTAATTTAGCAGGATAGCTTGTTGAGTGCAAAAAGTGACATCTCCTATAAGTGGAAATGCTTGACTAGCAATGCCAGACTGGGGTCTTGTGCTTCATTACATGTGAGTGCATCTGTTGCCACTTGTTGCCCTAATTCCATAAAAGAGAATAATTTTCACTATGAAACTTCTTTGGAAAAATGGAAGCATAGGTAATTGCATAGATAATAGAGGACAGACCTTATTATGGCATATCTGATAAAATTGCTGAGATAGATGCTTCTGAAAAGTAGTTGAATAAATGAATATACAATATTTCTCTAGAGTTTAAAATATTTGGTCAAGAATTCAATGGTATCATTGAACAAGAAGCAGATTTAAAGAAGAACATGTAATTATTCATCCCATATTTTAAAAAATGAACACTCCATGAAATGGATTTTAGCAATATAGTTTATGCATAGCTCCATGCAGAAAAGAGAGGAAAAAAAAAGAGGGTAACTTCAAGCATTATGATTGTGAAATTCATGTATTTTGGAAACTGATATAAATCATTTAAGATTAAAAGAAGCAATAAAGAAAGACAGGTTAACTGGAAAATAATAGCCAAGTAATACAAAGTAGTATATATCTTATTTTGTAAAATGCAAGAATAGAGAACTATTCACAATGAAATTAAGTTAACCAAGTAAAATTTTGGAATATCATAAAGTTTATGACAATGGTAATGTTCAGAAAATTCACCTCTTCAATTCACTGTAATAATTCATTCATGGATTTATTTATAAATATTTAGTGAGCAACTAGCATACCAAACCCAGTGATTGAGTCATCCTAATGACTTACCTGAAATAAAAGATTCTTTTTTATTTTTACTTCTAGATGACAAGTTTTCTTAAACTTAAGAATTTTTTAAATTTAAAATGATGGATAGTTGTTAAATAACAAAAGTGACAAGTGGTTACCACATAAAATGTTTTAAGCAGTATTTCCCTTTCTTTTGTTTGTGTGAACTGATGTTTTAAAAGTTTGTATATTATATTATTTTTCCCTTAAAATCATCTTAACTGTGACTTTTATTTGAAATCTCAAATCAACCAGAGAAATCTATTGATCCCATATCACCACACTAATATATTAATACACTTATTTCATGTTATGACATTCCAGAGGAGATAATGATTTCCAAACCCAGGCATTAAATTCTCAAAATATATTTTCTTCATTAGAAAAGTGTTCTTTTGGAAATATAATGTACTGCAGAAGTTGGGGTTTTTTCATGTTTCATAAAATACAGCAACTGCTTTAATTACTTTGAGGAAAAAAAGAAACACAAGAGTTCTGATTCCAACATTTAAAGGCCATAAGCATCTTAATAACTCTCTAACATTGGAAAGCCTTATTCCATGTCTTTAAAGTTAAAAATCCTGTTTCCTTACATTATGATGAAAGGGCAGAATTACGATATTTTGCAATATGGTAACTCTCAACCGACTTACCAATTATAATCAGTTGTGCTTCTCTGAAATCAGTGATTCTACATAATGGACCAATTTAAAATCATCCTTACGTTAATCCCTAGAGGATTGTTTATATTTCTTAAACACCTATGTTTATTCAATTAGTACTTTTTCTAATTTTGATTCTGAAATCTGGTTATTTTATTTTATTGAAAAAAAATAACAGGACCTTTTTCTTTCTACAATATTCTCAGGTATTCCCGCAGTATTGAGTCCTAAGTATTTTAAATAAGTTAGCTAATGCATCTTTCACAGTCAAATCATTATGCAGATATTATTATTTGCCACCCCCCCCAATCCAATTACAGATGAAGAAACTGAGGATCATCTAATTATGGAATTTGTTCAGGGTCTGATAGCTGGCAAAAGGCCGAGCTAAGATTCAAACCTAGGCAGTCTGTATTTATAATTTTAAACTGAGTCTTAATTCATGTGATTCAAAAGTCCTGAGAACAAACTGGATGAAATACAAGAAGTCATATTTTTTAATGTATTACTAGGTCTAAAATAAGGAAGAAATGAGAGGACAAAAGCATGATAAAAACGTAAGTGGGGAGAAATGAATTTGTAAAGGAACTGGTAATTGTTCTAAGGGCTTCTTATCACCTGATTTCTGGTGATATCCTAGAGCATTACTCTCATTAAGATGTGTTCTGCACAGGAGGAGGAGACAATGCCTAGGGCCAATATAAGGGTGAATTTGATTCAGAGATTCCTAAACCATAGTTCACCTTCCACCATCAAATCTAGCACAAAATAAATAACAAATACACAAAATTCCTTGCTTTGATTAGAGAAATATTTGTCTCACACTGTGAAGGTGAAAAAAAATGAAAGTATCTCCTTACAGTTTCTAAGAAAAGTCCACTCTTAAAAGGATTTGGAACTAGAAAACTTAATATCCTGTACTTCTGAAATAAACAAGTTGATGACTAAAGTGGTCATTTTTTGTTTGTTTCTAACAAGCACTTATGAGAAGAAAAACCAAATCCTCTCTGCAATAATATAGTTTGTAGTGAGGTCTCAAAAAATGTATTATTAAAATTGGAAGTAATATGAGCTCATGATAGAAAAGTCAAGAATTCATGAGAAAACAAGGAACTGTAAATGATAGCTTGAAAGAGCTACTAATTTAGAATTGTACCTGCTAAGACTATGGTCACTAGAATTATCTGCTACAGAATATTAAGTATATATAATATATCACAATGTTATTAAGCAACAAGATATCATCAAAGTGAATTAACCAGATATGAAAAAGGGCAACAAATTTTATACAGATTAAAAATGATACAGTAAATTATAAATGAAAGAAACATCCTAAAGCATAGATTCAAAATATTAAAAGAGAGAGTTACTGAATGAAAAGATGGATTTTAATATATTACAGATACTTTAGAGTGGATAGGAGAAAAAATATATAAAAGAGTAGTTAAGGGATATTGAGGAGAGAATGAGATGGTCTAATGCATACACAGTCACATTTTCATAAGGAGATAATGAAGAAAAGTAAAGAAGCAGCAGTTGTGATTATGATGAATATTTTGAAAATTCTCAGATTCAGAAAGCCTAGTGAATCTTAAGAAGAAGCAATAATATAAATAAATTCATATCTATATGCATATGGAAACTTCTGAATCGGAAAAACAAAGAAAAAAAGACAGCCAGAGAAGATAATTGAGTTTCAATAGATAAGTTGTTATCAGACTGATAATTAAATTCTTGAAAACAGCAAGGAAGCTTGAGGACAATGAAAGCACATTCAACGACTGAGAGAATGTAACCATCAACTTAGCATTAGTATTTCTTATTTAGAAAAAATTCTGTTTTGCATGTAAGCAAAATTATATTTTTTCTCAAACAAAATCAATGGAGTTTCTACTAACAGAGCTTCACATACATGAACAAATAGAAAAACAATAAGAGATTCAAACAATAAAATGATCAACTAAATATTAGTAAATATGGGTAACTTTACAAATCTTTATTGTTAGTAATAACATCTAATTTTTATTTTATTTTATTTTATTTACTTTTACTTTCTTTTTTTGAGACAGGGTCTCACTATGTCACTGCAGTGCCATGGCTGGATCATGGCCCACTGCAGCCTCCACCTCCCAGGATCAAGTAATTCTTCCACCTTAGCCTCCCAAGTAGCTGGGACTACAAGCGTGTGCTACCAGGCCTGGCTAATTTTTGTATTTTTTGTAGAGATGAGATTTTGCCGTGTTGCCCAAGCTGGTCTTGAATGCCTACGCTCAAGCAATCTGCTCGTCTCAGCCACCCAAAGTGCTGGGATTACAGGTGGGAGCCTCTGCTCCTGGCCCTATTTTTTTGTTGTTGTTTTTGTTTTTAAGTAAAAGACGAAAAATTCTAGTATATAACGTAAAGAAGCGGCAGAAGTGGCTTAGAATTTGAATTTTTTATGACTTACGTAACTCATTTCATGGAGGGAATCCTCCCTTAGATTCCACTGATTTAAAGGAGTCTTTTTTTGTAAGGTGGCATTTATTGCCTATTCAACAGGCATTTCCTATTTCCTTCTTTCATGCTTAAAGATTTTCTGTGCGGCCGTTAGTAGTGACTTTGATATCGCTACACAAATGAGGTACTTCTTTTTCCCATGGTCATGTGGTGACTTTCTCAACCTCCATTGCAATGTAAGTGTGGTCATTTGACCAACTGTTTCCAATGAGATGTAAGGGTAAATTTGATGGGGCTTTGGGGAAAGCTAACTTACTATGATATAAAGTAAGGTCCATTTTTGCCTTGTTCCCAAGCACTTCGTTACTGCTTAAAGATGAATTCAAGCACTCTATAGGAAATGTGAACAGAATTGCAGAAGTAACTTCCCAGTAGCTCTACAGTGTTGAGCAATTGAAGCATTGCCAATTATTTTCTATGTTCAGAATACTTGTTCATGACACAAAATAAGCCCATCTCGATGAAGCCACTCTTAGTTGAGTATTATATTGAGGGAAACTTCTTGCAAACTAATACAATTGCACATATACACACATATCATTTCAATAAACTGATTGCTTGATTCCTTAGTTTGTGTTTATGGACAAAAATCAAGTGGTATTATTTCAATACCATTAAGTACCTGGATTTTTTTACTCTACCTAATTATTTAGGATTTCTATCCACTTCTTTCCCTGGAGATACTCCTCAGTTGTTTCTATTATGTTTGTCCATAGATAGTCTCTCAGCTACAGTTACTACAAGGCATTATATCCATTTATCTCATGAACTGCTTTCCATTTATCAGTGTATATTCATCAAGAAGCCACTTGAAGGAGAACAATTATTGCTACTACTTAGTGCACTTCATGAGAGTGTAAATGATTGTGCCACAAAAATATTTCTCAAGATCATCAATCCATGAAACAAAAATGGTCCTCTGTCCCCCCCCAATATAGTAGAGCATAGTTTGATCCCTAACACAGTGTAACCTTTGAAACATGGGCTATCAAATACATTGTTGTTTCCCTGGACCCAAAAAATGTCCCCACAAATTAAACAGGCATCTGCTCCCTTAATTACTTTTTCCATAAAAGTGTGGCTGTTAATATACAAATAAAAGAAATGGCATTATTATTTTTTCAAATAATATAATATTTTGTCTGAGAATAAATTCAAATTATAGAAGATTGAGTATCATTTAATCCCATTAAAACATGCCAAGGACTATATATTTATATAGATCTAAAATATATATATATATAAAATCTACATTTTTAAATGTATATACTATGTGTTAAATATATATTATATATAAATATTATATATTTTAAATATATATTATATATTATAAATATCTATCCACATCTGCCTTTATTTATCTAACAATCTAATACTGTATATGCATAGGAAAAGCTTGAATGCATAGGAAATTGCTCTCTAGTGGCACTGGAAATGGTTTTAGAGGCCAATGTGTGAAGAAAATAGACATTTATTCCCTACATAATGTATTTACTAACATTCTTTTTATTGAACTTCTATGTTTTATTACATTTAAAAGAAAATAAAAATGAAGCTACTCTTAATGCAAGCAATTGGTAAACTGGACTCAAATTTAATCTTACCAATATCTACATTTATACTTATATAATCAATCAATAATATAAAATGATATCTGATTTTGAAAATGGAAAACGAGAATTCTATAACCTTTCCCTTAAGGACAAATATCAAATATGAGATTAAAAAATACATGAAGGTATTAGATATCCAAAAGGCAGTGAAGAATAACAGAACCAGGGGGAACTAAGAGAAGTCAGCAATCTAGAGAGGTAAGGTTGACTACTGTGAGCCATTTTTCTCCTAAAGGTGTTTTTCTTTTTCTTTTCTTTGTTAAATTTCCGTAGCTTTAGTGGTGCAAGTGGTTTTTGGTTACATGGATGCATTGTTTAGAGGAGAAGTTTGAGATTTTAGTGCACTCATCACCACAGTAGTGTACATTGTACAGAATATGTAGTTTATATCCTTCACCCCTCTCAAGCCCTCCTCCCTTGTGAGTCTCCAATGTCCATTACACTGGCTCATATGCTATTGTATACTCATTGCTTAGCTCCCACTTATAAGTGAGAATATGCAATATTGGGTTCTCCATTTCCAGAGTTACTTCACTTAGAATAATGGCCTTCGGTTTCATCCAAGTAGCTTTAAAAGGCATTATTTTATCATTTATTATGGATGAGTAGAACTCCATGGTGTATATATACCACATTTTCTTTATCCATTCGTAGGTTGATAGGTACTTAGGTTGGCTCCATATCTTTGCAATTGCAAATTGCATACTGATAACTATATGTGTGCAGATGTCTTTTTTACATAATTACTTCCTTTGGGTAGATACCTAGTAGTGGGATTGCTGAATTGAATGGTAGATCTTCTTTTAATTCTATGAGAAATCTCCATTTTGTTTTTCACTGAGATTGTACTAATTTACATTACCATCAGCAGCATATAAGTGTATAAGTGTTTACTTTTTACCACATCTATGCTAAAATCTGTTGTTTTTTGAATTTTTAATAATTACCATTCTGGCTGGGGTAAAGCAGTATATTATTCTTTTTTTAATTTGCATCCCCCTGATGATTCGTGATGTTGAGCATTTTTTCATATGTTTGTTGGCCATTTTTATATCTTCTTTTGGGAAATGTTTATTTATGTAATTTGCCCACTTTTTGATGGAATTATTTGTTTGTTTGTTTGTTTTATTGCTGATCTGAGTCCCTTATGAATTCTGAGCATTAGTCCTTTGTCAGATGCATAGTTTGCAAATATCTTTTCCCATTCTGTGGGTTGTCTTCTCACTCTGATAATTATTTCTTTTGCTGTGGAGAAGCTTTTCAGTTTAATTAGGTTCCATGTATTTATTTTTGTTTTCGTTGCATTTGCTTTTTTGGTCTTAGTCAAAAATTCTTTGCCTAGGCTAATGTCCAGAAGAGTTTATCCTAGGTTTTCTGCTAGAATTTTTATGATTTCAGGTCTTAGAAATAAATATGTGATTCATCTTGAGTTGATTTTGCACACAGTGAGAGACGGGAATCAAGTTTCATTTTTTTCTACATGCGCTATCCAGCTTTCCCAGCACCATTTATTGAATAGGCTGTCCTTTCCCCAATTTATGTTCTTGTATTCTTTGTTGAAAACAAGTTTGTTGTAAATATTTGACTTTATTTCTGGGTTATAGGTTCCATTGCTCTATGCATCTACTTTTATATCAGTATCATGCTGTTTTATTTACTATAGCCTTGTAGTATAATTTGAAGCTGTGTAATGTGATGCCTCTACATTTGTTCTTTTTGCTTAGAATTGCTTTGGCTTTGGGTTCTTTTTTTGTTCCATATAGATTTTAGGATTTTTTTCCTAATATTTGAAATAATTTTTGTTCAATCAAATTTTTTGATAATAAAACTCATGCTAAAGAGAAAAAAATAAACTGGATTAAATATGCTTATAAATCCGCAGTATTTACAAATCTAAATAAAAAACTTTGTACTATTTTACGTATCTATTCTAAGCTTAAATTAAGTTTTAATTTTAAGCTATAACATTATTATAATCTTAAGAGACATATCTTAAGAGACACTTGAGAATCATTGTAAACCTGTGGAACTAGAATAAGCCATTTATATTTGCATTTATTTATATTATCCTATGGAGAGAGTACCAAGTATTCATTTTGAATCTGCTAAAATAGAACATTAGGATGTTATATTATCATTTCAGCATGGAACCTATTTGAAAAATGGTTTTTTCACTGGGAATTATGACAAAATGTACTTTATTCTTTCATTGACAAGTGCATATATCACAGCATGTTTTATTTGGGTATAAAACATGAATCACCAATGGGATATGGGGATATGGGTATAGGTTTGTGTTTATGTGTCTTTGTAATGAAATCTAATGTGACTGGCTTTTAAAATTCAAATATTGAGTATTAAAGACACTTTACATCTCTTGTATAAAACTAACTTAGAAATATTTGGACATTTTTCTTTTCCATTCAATTACTCTTGCATGAATAATTTGTAATACACTCACAAAAATATAAATAGAAAAAAACTGAGGAGCTAAATACTTAGCTCATGACTCTACTAATTAATACTTTTCTTTGGGCTTTTGTTTTCTTTTACAATGGCTTCTTTGAATTTATAATAAAGCAAAGAATTTTCCTTGTGATTTAATATCCAATGATACATTTTATTGAAGACTTTGGAATAACGGTGAGGTCTCGTTGATGACAGAGATTTTACTGGGACCTTGAAGGAGGGCTAAAGTAAGACACGGTCACACAGTTCTAAGAAAAGCTTCCTAACAACTTTCACAAAAACTCTGGGATGGGGTTATAATAGACATGATTGCTATTTGTATTGCCCACATTTTGAGGTATAATAAATTTTAGATATTAAATGATTTCTCCAATGCCACAGCTCTTTAAAGTATCAGACTCAAATCCCAAATCCAGGATTTCTAATTGCACACTCTTATCATTTTACCAAGAGTGCCTGAAAAAATGACTTTGGTAATGGCTTTTCATTCTTCTTCTTTTTTCTTTTTGTAGTAAAATTCTTTTTTAAAACTCACTAGACAATTGTATAATATAATTAAAATCGTGAGTGTTGATTTAAAGTTTAAATATGTACATTACTTGGTTGCAGTGATATTGAATGTTAAAGCAACTGAACATGTATGTTAATGAATATTAAGAACCAGGGCTCTTCCATGTTAATCCCAAAGAAATAAAAGTTAAAAGAAAGTGTTGCACCTCCTTTTAGATGCTGATAATTCAGTCATATTGATTACTGGCACAGGTAGGAGCTATTGCAAGAAATGCTGCATATCCCCTGGCCAGAGAAAATATTAAAAGGTATAAGCCAATACGATCACTATTTTAAGGCATAACTTGTCCCATATCTGACCAGCGGGAGCCTCTTCAAGCTGGCTCCCTGATTTAAAAAAAATTTTTTTTCAATCAGAAGATAAAATAGTATGTATTTATTATGTACAACATAATATAATATATATGCATTATAGAATAGTTAAATCTAGTTAATGAAAAGGTGCATTACCTCATTTGCCCTCCTTTTTAGTTTCTGGAATAGCAAGTTGTTGTTAACTCATAAGATGCTTTTTATGCCTCAGTTCTGGAATCATTCAAATCTTTAAGGAGCCAGATACTACATACTTTAGAATGATATTTATAAGCCAATGATGGTAAGATACTCATTGCTACTTGCACACCATTGCTTCTACATCTTATCAGCAAAGTATTTACAGATTATGTGTAGATCATCTATAAACTATCTATCTCTCAATTTCTCTATTTATCTATCTATAAAGTAGGTATACATTATATGTTTATAAATGTACGTATACATTTATATAATTATTTATATATACATATACATATAGTTATTTAATACACATAATAATTATTCAATAAAAATAATAATACATATACATATAATTATTTATACATACACTTAAGGATCTATGTTTAAAGCCAGGAATTCCCATAATTCCAAACCAGCATCTCGGAGTTTGTTCTGATTTTTCCCCTTTATAAAACAATTTGCACCTCCCTTTCCCAACAGTGAGAAATGCACATATTATTATCTTCAATAATATTACTCATTTGCTCAGACTCACACTATGCAGCAGTTTTATGATTGCTAAACAATACTCCAGAGAGTATCAAACTTAGAAACTAAAAAGTAATATTTGCTTGTAGTCATTTTACATTTAGGTATTTGCTTATGACTTAGTATTCATTTACATATATACTTTTTTCTTGAGCAACACGGGTTTGAAATGTACAGGACAACTTATACATAGATCTCCTTCTGGCTTTGCCACATCTGAGGCAAGACCAAACCTACTGCTTTTCCTCCTCGGCCTACTCAATGTGAAGATGATGAGGATGAAGACATTTATGATGATCTGCTTCAACTTGATAAATAGTAAATATATTTTTTCTTTTTTATGATTTTCTTTTTTTCATTTTTATAGCAACATTTTTACAGCTTACTTAATTGTAAGAATACAGGTAATAATGCATATAACATAAAATACAAAATCTGTGTTAATTGACTTTATTGTTTTCAATAAGGCTTCTGGTGATCAGCAGGCTATTAGCAGTTAAGTTTTTGGGAAATCAAAAGTTATGTGTGGGTTTCTGACTACACAAGTTCAGCAACCCTAATACCCATGTTGTTCAAGATTCAACTCTAGTTGAGTGCACTTTATTTCTTATTAGCACTTATATATGTTAAGTGTAATGCACAAATCTTAAGTGTGCTCTTAGATGAAGTTTGAAATATTCATTTGTCTGTGTAACCCATACTCAAGAAAATTCAGTTCATAACAACATAAAATGTTACCTCTGTATATAAAAGAAAGATCTGCACTCCAATGTTTATTGCAGCACTATTCACAATAGCCAAGATATGGAATAAAACAAAGTGTCCATCAGTGGATGAATGAATAAAGAAAATGTGGTTTATATGCACAATGAAATATTATTCAGCTGAAAAGATGGAAATCCTGTCATTTTCAGCAACATGGATGGAACTGGAAGACATTATGTTCAGTAAAATAATCCAGGCACACAGAGACAAATATCACATATTTTCACTCATATATGGGAGCTAAAACAATTAACCTTATAGAGGTAGGAAGTAGAATGATTGTTACCAGAAGCCAGGAAGGGTAGTGGGAAAAGGGTATAAAGAGGGGTTAGTTAATAAGTGAGAGATATACACTGAAATAGAAAGAACCATATCTAGTGTTTTATAGCACAATAGGATATCCACAGTTAACAACAATTTATTGTATATATCAAAAGAACTAGAAAAACGGAATGGGAATGTTCCCAACAGAAATAAATGATAAATATTTGAAGTGGTGGATATCCCAATTACCCTAATTTGATTATTACCCATAAGATTGTATCAAAATATCACATGTACCCCATAAAAACATAGAACTATTATGTATCCATAAATATTTTTATTTGTTATTTAAATCAGTTTTATTTAAGAATTTTCAATATTGACAACTCTTATAAAAAGCATCCAAGCATGGGACACAGAACTGCAGCTAGCACCAGTCTTATGGGTAGCTAACAGACATTAGAACTTCAACCCTTCTTTGAGATGCCTGACCTCACTCACGAACTCGGCTTCCAAGTACTCCTGCAAAGCACACAAGTTCAGTCCATGTTCTCAGTGTTCTCCCAACAGCTTCAGTTCGCATTAGCAAAATTACATATCAGTAACAGAAAGAAACACACACCATACAGCATTCACAGAACTTGACAAAGTGGTAGGGGGAATACACGTATTGTTTCACTTAACGCATTCAACTAATGTGGGTTATATAAGAAAAAAGTCACTAAAAGTTTCACTTAAAGTTTTCCAACAGATGTGGATGTCCTTTGAATGCAAAACACATTCATACATTATTTGCTGTCATTGCTTTCTGCACACTCTCTCACCAAAGCCACAAGTTAGAGATATATGTCTTGCCAAGTTAAAAAGTATTCATTATGCTCCACTAAGTCTTTGCATGTGCTTTCTCCTTTTCTCGCTCATACTAGCTTTTCATGCCTTGGCACCACCATCAATCACACACAAAGTTGCAAAACTTCAAAAAGCTTTCTGATTCCATATTACAGCCTTGCATCCACAGCATTGATACAACTCCATGAAATAAACAGTAATGGATAAAAATGGGACACCCACTGTCAAAGATGCGGCCTATGACACATGATGACAAATTATTGAATGAGAAAGCATGTAAACAGAAGTATACCTATGGCAAAATTTTACAGCACTACTTTCAATAAAGTACTTCCAGAAAAATTTGAAATGAGGTTAACTACAGAGATTAAATGAAGGCTTCATATTGAACTTTTGTATATGATGGTGTAATAGTTCATTTTCACGTGGCTGATAAAGACATATCCAAGTGTGGGTAATTTATAAAAAGAGATTTAATGGACAGTTCCACATGCCCGGGGATGCCTCACAATCATGGCAGAAGGTAAAAGACACTTCTTACATGGTGAGAAGAGAGAGAGAATGAAACCAAGCAAGAGTTTTCCCCTTATAAAACCATTAGATCTGGTGAGACATATTCAATACCTCCAGAACAATATGGGGAAAACTGCCCCTGTGATTCAGTTATCTCCCACTGGGTCCTGCCTACAACACATGGGAATTATGGGAACCACAGTTCAAGATGAGATTTGGGTGGAGACACAGGCAAACCATATCTTTCTGCACCTAGCCTTTCTCAAATCTCATGTCCTTACATTTCAAAACCAATCATTCTTTCCCAACAGTCCTCCAAAGTCTTCACTAATTTCAGCATTAACTTAAAAGTCCACAGTCTGAAGTCTCATCTGAGACAAGGCAAGTCCCTTTGGCCTATGAGCCTGTAAAATCAAAAGCAAGTTAGTTACTTCCTGCATACAATGGGGTACAGGCATTTGGATAAATACGCTCACTCCAAATTGGAAAAATGAGCCAAAACAAAGTGGCTAAAGGCCCCATGCAAGCCCAAAATCCAGCAGGGCAGTCAAATATTAAAGCTCCAAAATGATCTCCTTTGACTCCATGTCTCACATCCAGGTCAAGCTGATGCAAAAGGTGGGTTCACATGGTCCTGGTCAGCTCTACCCCTGTGGCTTTGCAGAGTACAGCCTCTCTCCAGGCTGCTTTCAGAGGCTGGCATTGAGTGTCTGTGGCTTTTCCAGGTGCATGATGGAAGCTGTCAGTGGATCTACCATTATGGGGTCTGGAGGATGGTGGTGCTCTTCTCACAGCTCCACTAGGCAGTGCCCCAGTAGGGACTCTACGTGGGACTCCCACCCCACATTTCCTTTCCACAATGCCCTAACAGAGGTTCTCCATGAGAGCCCCACCCCTGCAGCAAACATCTGCTTGGATATCCATGTGTTTCCATACATTCTCTGAAATTGAGGCAGAGGTTCCCAAACCCCAATTCTTGGCTTCTGTGTACCCGCAGGCTCAGCACCACGTGGAAGCTGAAAAGGCTTGTGACTTACATCCTCTGAAGCCATGGTCAGAGCTGTACCTTAGCCCCTTTTAGCCATGGCTAGAGTGGCTGGGATGCAGGGCACCAAGTACAAGTCTGTATATAGCAGGCAGGGGCTCCTGGGTCCAGCTCACAAAACCATTTTTTTCTCCTAGGCCTCTGGGCCTATTATGGGAGGGGCTGCCATAAATAGCTCTGACATGCCCTGCAGACATTTTTCCCATTGTCTTGGTGGTTAACTTTTGGCTCCTCATTACTTATGTACATTTCTGCAGCAACTTAAATTTTTCCTTAGAAAATGGCTGTTTCTTTTCTATTGCATGGTCAGGCTGCAAATTTTCCAAATTTTTATACTCTGTTTCCCTTTTAAAGCTGAATGCTGTTAACAGAACCCAACATTACCTCTTGAATGCTTTGGTACTTAGAAATTTCTTCTGCCAGATACCCTAAGTCATCTCCCTCAAGTTCAAAGTTTCACAAAATCTCTAGGGCAGACGCAAAATGCCAACAGTCTCTTTGCTAGACAATAGCAAGAGTCACCTTTACTCCAATTCCTGACAAGTTCCTCATCTCCATCTGAGACCACCTCAGCCTGGATTTCATTGTCCATCTCATTATCAGTATTTTGGTCAAAGCCATTCAACAAGTCTCTAGAAAGTTCCAAACTTTCCCCCATTTTCTTGTCTTCTTCTGAGCCCTCCAAAGTATTCCAATCTCTGCCTGTTACCCAGTTCCAAAGTCACTGCCACAGTTTTGGGTATCTTCAGAGAAGCACCCCACTCTACCAGTACCAATTTACTGTATTAGTCTGTTTTCAGGCTGCTGATAAAGACATACCCAAGACTGGGTATTTTATAAAGAAAAAGCAGTTTAATGGACTCACAGTTCCATGTGGCTGGGGAGGTCTCACAATCATGGCAGAAGGCTAAAGGCACTTCTTACCTGGCAGTAGCAAGAGAGAATGAAAGCAAGCAAAAAGGATTTCCCCTTATAAAACCATCACATCTGGTGAGACTTGTTCACTACCTTGAGAACAGTATGGGGAAACTGCTCCCATGATTCAATTATTTCCCACTGGGTCCTTCCCACAACACATGGAAATTGTGGGAGCTACAATTCAAGATGAGATTTGTAAAAACGAAAACAAAAGAACTAAACACTTGACACCATGATCTCTCCAAAAGAGATTTTCTTAAGGAAAAAAAATTCATATGATGGGGTTTAAATTAAAACAAGAAGAAAAGAATATAGTTTAATCAATGGTTTCCATTTTGAATGAGGACAGAATTGACATGTCCACGGATAAAATGTTATAGAGGAATCCTTTTGATATCAATTATATACTATTTATTTGTCAAGTTAGGCTAACACATTTCACTTTCAATCACTCAATATTTCAACCCTTTATGTAACAAAATTTATAAAATCCCATTAGCTATTCCTCTTTTTTTAAAGAAAAATGTTAAAAATACTGCTGAATATACTCCACATGTGACAAACCAATTTTGAAAGTTCTTAGTACATATGTATTTTATGTATACTTACCATGAGTTTAGAAAAATTTGTAATTTCACCGTTTGATTCCAACCAACCATACCCCCCAAGTCTGTATTTTCCAGCCAGAAGACTTAGAACCCATACTTGAGCTAAAGTCTCAGTTAAAACCACTGCCTGACCCTGCAGTTCATTCCACCCTCCATGTTCTACCTTGATTGTTTCTCAGGTCTGCTCCACTCCCACTACAGTTACCAAATCCGCTCTGATTCCCAAAGCTACCTGGAAACCACCAAATCTTCCACCTTTTTCTGTCTATTGCTATTGTGCTTACACTTGCATTGGATATATGTATGCTGATTCCCTTAATAATCAAGTCCTCTCCACAAAGAGACTGGGCAAGCTAATCATCTGCAATGTAAGAAAGGCAAAGTCCCTGAATGGTTTGGAAATGAAGACATCTATCACTTCTCTGCAATGACCAAAGAACTGCTGCAGCTTATCAGAATTCATAATCTCTGTACAACACCCCACAAACATCTTTTTGCTTCTCAAAGTCTCATTCAGTGTTTGCTTTAGAGTTAGGAACTGTACAGTCACACCATCATCTATCTGTCTTATGTTGCTGTGACATTCTTTCACCTGGGTTTCATATTTTATAAAATGAACAAAGCCAAACCCCTTTGAATAGCCAGTTCTAACATCCTTCTTGACCTGAACCATAAGAATTTCTCCAAAGGTACTGAAATATTCTTTCAGATCCTGTTCAGTTGTTTTCCATGGGAGACCCAACACTGCTAAAGCAGATGTTTTCTGGACTGCTCTTTTCACTTTTATGGCTAATGAAGTATCTGTCTTTTCCCTTTTTCTGTAGTTATCTACAGAATAGTTGACAACGTACACCAAATTTCCCCAGCCAGCACTGGGGGCATGCAGAATTCCTTCTACCAGCAGACACTCCTAATACCTGAGACACTGGAATCCTGTAGGGGAGCCCACATGCCCCTGGAAACTGGACTGTAACCGTGGGCAGCAGCACTGTTCTATCATCTTCTGATGGTATTTCAATGGGCTCATAATTCTTGTCTCTAGTTACCTGAATACATGCAGATATTTTTTATTTTTCTGCTAGGCCACTGCTAGGAAGCCCAGTAGGGCCACTGAGGCAGCTACAGATCCAACAGCAGCCCAGCTACTTCTTCTTTCTCACAAAATTCTGAACCATGTTCTCTCCTGGCCTTCCTTGCCAACCCATGCTCATATACCTCAGAAGCATACCATATGGAATCTTCTGGTTCCGACTTTTTTAACCAAGCCTAAAATCTGGAATATTCATTCATGTTATGAAGAGTATCAAAAATTTGTATCTTTTAGCAAATAAAATAGTCATTTGTCTGAATCTACCACATATTTTCATCTCTTCTCATGCTGTATAATGTCATATTTATTTGGATAAATTACATTCAAAGACATATTTTGAGTTCAGTGTAACATTTTACTACTAAAGAATATCCCAGTAAACACCCTGAAATCAATACAGTTAAGTTGTGTAAAGCTTCTCTTAAAAGAATGGTGGTATATAAACTATTCACAAAGTAATAGATTATTTTATTCTTGAAACAAATAAACTCTTGTACTTAACACTGTATTCTTTAATGTTATATTTTATTCACAGTGTGACTTCATATTAAGAATTTCTCTACTCAAATTAAGAGGGAAATAAATTTATGTTATTATTAAAATGCATCAATATTTTATTTTGTTAAAGGGAAATTCACTAACATTAACAGCCAAAGCAGGTGAATTATTCCATGATTGACACATTTTTGTACTAATCAGATTATCATTGGGTCATTCAGCACCTCTCATTTTCAAGGTTACCTTCAGACTTCCATTAAGGCACCTGATGAATTTCATACTGAGAATACTTTGGCTAGTTTTATCAGAAAAAAATATTAAACTGTGTACTCTTATTTGTTCAATTTTTCACTCATTTGCTTATCAGTTCTCTGCATATTGCCTCACACAATTTGATGCAAAATTGTGAAGTGGTGAGTTGTGCTTCTCTGTCTTTTAATGTCTGCTTAAATCCTTTTAAAGGGATTTGGTTACTATCTTCACTGAATTATTTCTGCTAAAATCATACTTTCAGTTTGCTAAATAGGACTTTTTCTACTTGTATTTTTCTCTCTGTGTGCATATGCGTGTGTGAGTGTGTGTGTGTGTGTGTGTGTATGTGTGTGTTTAGGTAAATCATATTCAATAATTTATATTTAGTCTTCCTAATAAAATTTTGCATGTCTTTTTTAAAAACTCTTTCTACCAGGAAAATAAATCAAGTAATGAGCTGTGTCCAGTTAAGTACGAGAAGACCCATTCTCCATCAAACTTTCTAATTTTATATTTTACTTCTACCTTCTCTTTAACAGGGGTAGATGATTTTAAATTATGAACTTATTACTAATTATTCATATAATTAACAATATTATAATATAATCTATGTAGTCAAAGTATTTTGGATATTTGGTGGCTGTACATATTATTTGAGTAAATATTTTATTTTACTTTTAAACACTTTTATTGAGGTATAATTGAAATCCAAAGAGTCATACATACTTAATTTATGCAACTTGATGAGTCTAGAGACAAGTATAAACCTATGAAACCATGACCAAAATCTATGCCATAAACATATCTGTCATCTATTTACACCCTGTTTATTTATTGTTATTATTATTTTTTTGTGTGATTAGAATACTTAACAAGATCCACAGTCTTAGTAATGTTTATATATACAATACAATATTGTTGACTATAGACACTATGCTTCATCGTAGACCTCTAGGATTTATTCATCTTGCATAAGTGAAACTTTGTACTCTTTATGTAATATTACCCTATTTCCCTTTCCTTCCACCCCCGGTAGCCACCTTTCTATTATATGCATCGATTTGTTTGACTATTTCAAAGTTATCATAGAAGTGGCATTATGTAGTGTTTGTTTTACCATTACTGGTTTATTTTACTTAGCATAACCTCTTGAAGTTCATCCATATTGTCACAAATGGCAGGATTTCCTGCTTTTACAAAGCTGAAAAATATTCCACTGTACATATATACCAAATTTTCTGTATCCATACTTCTGCCATGAACATTTATGTGGCTTCCATATCTTTTTTATGTAAGTAACACTGTAATTAATATGGGAATACAGATACCTCTTTGAGATTCTGGTTGTAGTTTCTTTGCATATATACTCAGAAGCAGAATTGTTAGATAATACAGTAGTCCTATTTTTAATTTTTTGAGGAACTCCATACTCTTTTCCACAGAAGCTTCAACATTTTATATTTCCAACAACAGTGTAAATGGTTTTACTTTCTTCGTATCTTTGATATCACTATTTTGATAATAGCTATTCTAATGAGTGTGAGATGAGAGCTCGTTTTGCTATTGATCTACATTTCCCCAATGATTAGTGATAGGGAGCATCTTTTTATATAACTATTGGTCATTCTATATCTTCTCTGAAGTAATATCTATTCAAGCCCTTTGTCTTGTTGTTTGTTTTCTATTGAGTTGTAGAGAAGTGTCTTACATATTTTGACTGTTAATCCTTTATTAAACATATGGTTTGCAAATATTTTTCCCATTTCATGTTTTTCTTTTTCTTCTGTTGATTGTTTCCTTTGCTGTAGGGAAGCTTTTTAGTTTGATAAATCCCCACTCATCTGTTTTTACTTTTATTTATTGTGCTTTTGGTGTCATATTCATACATCATCATAGGGCCAATGTTAAGAAGATTTTCCCCTGTGTTTTCTTCTAGGAGTTTTATGTTTAAGTCTTTAATCCATTTTTAGTTAAATTTTATGTACAGTGTAAGATAGGAGTTCAGCTTTATTCTTTTGCATGTGGATATACACTTTTCCCAACAACATTTATTGAAGAGACTATCTTTACCTTTTGTGTATTCTTGGTACCCTCACCAAAGATTAGTTTACTGTATGTGTGTGTTTATTTCTTGGCCCTCTATTCTGTTCCATTACTATGTGCCTGTCTTTCTGTATTTATGCCAGTATTTTTCTGTTTTAATTACTGATGCTCACTCTCACATAGTACAGGAAATCCTAGCCAAAGTAAATAGACAATTAAATAAATAAAATGCATCCAAATAAGCAAGAAAAACTAAATTATCTATGTTTGCAGACGACATGATTTTATATGTAGAAAATACTAAAGACACACACACACACACACACATAAACCTGTCAGAACTAATAAATGGTTTCCATAAGCTTACGGGAAGCAAAATCAACAGAAGAAAATCAGTTGCATTTCTGTGCAATATCAATGAGCATCTAAAAAGAAAATTAAGAAAAAATTCCACTTATAATAAAATAATATTGTAC
Source organism: Homo sapiens (assembly GCF_000001405.40). Classification (NCBI taxonomy): domain Eukaryota; kingdom Metazoa; phylum Chordata; class Mammalia; order Primates; family Hominidae; genus Homo; species Homo sapiens. The sequence continues at coordinate 102,457,365 of NC_000006.12, forward strand.
AAAACTATTACAAAATCATTCTTAGAAATGTTTACCAATGCCCCAAAACACATATTCTATTTACCTCTGAAATCTTGGATATTATTCATGAACTTTGGGTTTACCAAGGCCAACCCTTCCATCTATTCACCATCCTTATGACTATGAAAGCCACTGAGATGGCAGAAGCATAGAAGCTGGAGAAAGAAACCATGAGTTAGCTCTTGTATTAGTCTAGGTAGACTAACTATTATAAAATCAATACCTAACATTCAGAAATTTTATGAAATAGAAATTTCTCACTTGAGCCTCAGTCTCATACAGTTTGGAGAGTTTTCAGGACATAGCCATTTATTGATCTTGACTCCTTTTTTCATGTGATTATTTCACTTGTAGAGCCTCCTCCTTCTCTGTGTTTAACCTGCAGATGGGGAGAGTGTTTCGGGACGAGCACTACAGACTACTTTGGGGCCCAGAAATGCCATATATTACTTCTTCCCATATTCTTTGGGACAGAATTTAGTCACATGATATTCTGATATAAATGTATCTAGTAATAGAAAAACTTCAGCACCTTTTATTGGGGAAGATGGTAACAAAAATCTTTAGATTTTCTACACATAGAATGAAACTACATAAAGTCATATTTTTACAGCCCTTTAATGTGTCAAAAGTAAATGTTTAACATTGTCTGTCCAAATAGTAGAGACATTAAAGCACATAAATCCCTTTTTTATGGTTAAATGCTTCCACTGATATTTGATAGGTAAGATTTGTATAAGTTACGTAAATTATCTGTTAACACAGACATCTCTCTAAAGCCAGAGTTCAAATGTTTGAATCGATTCAATGCTTTGAAGGCATTTTTCTCCTTCATCAAGCCACTAAGACAATATACCACTTTTCTGACTGCATCATTTAAAATAAAATATGTCAATAAGAAAAGTAAAATTTCTGGGGGCGGGGGCAAGATGGCTGAATAGAAACAGCTTTGGTCTGCAGCTCCCAGCAAGACCAATGCAGAAGGTAGGTAATGTCTGCATTTCCAACTGAGGTACCCAGTTCATCTCATTGGGACTGGTTAAGCAGTGGGTGGAACCCACGGAAAGTAAGCCTCTGCAGGGTGGGCTTCTGCTTCTTCAGGGTGGGCTGACACTTCACCTGGGAAGTGCAGGGAGCCAGGGGACTTCCCTCCCCAAGCCAAGGGAAGCAGTGAGGGACTGTGCTACCCACCCGGGATACTACACTTTTCCCACAGATTTTTGCAATCCACAGATCAGGGGATTCCTTCGTGAGCCTACACCACCAAGGCCCTGGGTTTCAATCACAAAACTGGGTGACTGGGTAGGGACTGAGCTACAGTCGTTTTTTTCATACTCCAGCAATGCCTGAAACTCCAATGAGACAGGAGAACCATCTACTTCCTTGGAAAGGGGACTGAAGCCAGGGAGCCAAGTGGTCTCACTCAGCTGGTTTCATTCCCATGGAGCCCAGCAAGCTAAGAACCACTGGTTTGAAATTCTCACTGCTAGCAAAGCAGTCTGGGAGGATTGAACTTGGTAGGGGGGTGAGTGGTCTGCCATTACTGTGGCTTTAGTAGGTGGTTTTCCCCTGATAGTGCTGAGACTGGGAGGTTTGGACTTGGCAGAATTCACCACAGTGCAGCAAAGTGACTGTGGCCAGACTGCTCCTCTAGATTCCTCTTCACTGAGCAGGGCGTTTCTGCAGAAAACCCGGCAGCTCCAGTCAGGAGCTCTCACAGACAAAACTCTCATCTCCTTGGGACAGAGCACCTGGCAGGAGGGGCAGCTGCAGCCTCAGGTTCAGTGAACTTAATCTTTCCTGCCTGCCAGCTCTGAAGAGAGCAGCCGATCCTAACAAGAGAGATTCTCCCAGCACAGCGCACCAGCTCTGCTAAGGGACAGACTGCCTCCTTAAGCAGGTCCCTGATCCCTGTGCCTCCTGACTGGGAGAGACCTCCCAACAGGGGTTGACAGACACCTCATATAGGAGAGCTCCATCTGGCATCAGGCTGGTGCCCCTCTGGGACAAAGCTTCCACGGGAAAGAGCAGGCAGCAATATTTGCTGTTCTGCAGCCTCCACTGGTGATACCCAGGCAAATAATAAGAGCTATTTATAACAAACCCATAGCCAATATCACACTGAATGGGCAAAAGCTGGAAGCATTCCCTTTGAAAACAGGTCCAAGACAAGGATGCCGTTTCCTTCACTCTTATTCAACATAATATTGGAAATTCTGGCCAGGGCAATCAGGTAAGAGAAATAAATAATGGGGCATTTGAATAGGAAGAGAGGAAGTCAAATTGTCTCTGCAGATGACATGATTCTATATTTAGAAAACCCCATGGTCTCAATCGTCACAGTCCAAAAACTCCTTAAGCTGATAAGTAACTTCAGGAAAGTCTCAGGATACAAAATCAATGTGCAAAAATTACAAGCATTCCTATACACCAGCACTGGACAAGAAGAGAGCCAAATCATGAATGAACTCCCATTCACAACTGCTACAAAGAGAATAACATATCTAGAAATACAGCTTACAAGAGACGTGAAGAACCTCTTCAAGGAGAACTACAAACCACTGCTCAATGAAGTAAGAGAGGAGACAAACAAATGGAAAAACATTCCATCCTCATGGATAGGAAGAATCAATATCATGAAAATGGCCATATTGCCCAAAGTAACTTATAGATTCAATGCTATTTCCATCAAACTACCATTGACTTTCTTCACAGAGTTAGAGAAAATACTTTAAATTTCATATGGAACCAAAAAAGAACCCATATAGCCAAGACAATTCTAAGCAAAAAGAACAAACCTGGAGGCATCAGACTACCTGACTTCAAATTACACTACAAGGCTACAGTAACCAAAACAGCATAGCACTGGTACCAAAACAGACATTGGTCTATATGTTTGTTTTGGTACCACTACCATGGTACAGTACAGAGACCTCAGAAATAACACCACACGTCTACAATGATCTGATCTTTGACAAAGCTGACAAAAATAAGCAATGGTGAAAGTATCCCTTATTTAATGTATGGTGCTTGGAAAACTGGCTATCCATATGCAGAAAAAAAATTGACCCCTTATGTTAACCTTATACAAAAATTAACTCAAGATGGATTAAAGACTTAAATGTAAAACTCAAAACCATAAAAACTCTAGAAGAAAACCTAGGCAGTACCACTTAGGGCATAGGCATGAGCATAGACTTCATGAAGAAAACACCAAAAGCAACTACAATAAAAGCCAAAATTGACAATGGGATCTACTTAAACTAAAGAGCCTCTGCACAGCAAAAGAAACTAGCACCAGAGTGAACAGGTAACCTACAGAATGGGAGAAAATTTTTTCAAGCTACCCATCTGACAAAGGTCTAACATCCAGAATCTACAAGTACTTAAACAAATTTACTAGAAAAAAACAAACAACCCCATCAAAAAGTGGGCAAAGCATATGAACAGACACTCCTTAAAATAATACATTTATGTGGCCAAGAAATCTATGGACAAAAGCTCATCATGGCCGATCATTAGAGTAATGCAAATCAAAACCACAATGAGATACCATCTCACGCCAGTCGGAATGGTGATTATTAAAAAGTCAAGAAACAATAGATGCCGGGGAGGCTGTGGAGAAATAGGAATGCTTTTACACTGTTGGTGGGAGTACAAATTAGTTCAACCATTGTGGAAGAAGTGTGGTGATTCCTCAAGGATCTAGAACTAGAAATACCATTTGAACCAGCAATCCCATTACTGGGTATATACTCAAAGGATTATAAATCATTCTACTATAAAGACACATGCACATGTATGTTTATTGCACACTATTTACAATAGCAAAGGCATAGAACCGACCCAAATGTCCATCAATGGACATTTGGATAAAGAAAATGTGGTACATATACAGCATGGAATACTATGCAGCCATAAAACAGAATGAGATTATGTACTTTGCAGGGGAATGGATGAAGCTGGAAGCCATCACCCTCAGCAGACTAACACAGGAACAGAAAACACCGCATATTCTCACTCATAGTGGGAGCTGAACAATGAAAACACACACAAGTTGGGGAAGAGTACACACCAGGGCCTGTTGGGGGCTGGGGAACAAGGGGAGGGAAAGCATTAGGAAAATACCTAATACATGTGGGACATAAAACCTAGATGATGGGTTGACAGGTGCAGCAAACCACCTTGGCACATATATACCTTTGTAATAAACCTGCACATTCTGGACATATATCCCAGATCTTAAAGTAAAATTTAAAAAAAAAGGCCAGGTGCCATGGCTCACACCTGTAATTCCAGCACTTTTGGAGGTCGAGGTGGGCGAATCACCTGAGGCTGGGAGTTCGAGACCAGCCTGACCAACATGGAGAAACCCCGTCTCTACTAAAAATACAAAATTAGCTGGGTGTGGTGGCGCATGCTTGTAATCCCAGCTACTCAGAGGCTGAGGTAGGAGAATCACTTGAACCCAGGAGGCAGAGGTTGCAGTGAGCCAAGACCGTGCCATTGCACTCTAGCCTGGGCAACAAGAGCAAAACTGTCTCAAGAAAAAAGAAAAAGCTAAAAAAGTAAAATTTTCTTTGTAGCAAACAAGATTTATTAACATATTCAATGTTATCCATTTTATGAGTTAAAACTTATAATAATTTAAATCATAATAGTACTAATTTTAGACAGGCTTCTGACTTGATGATGGATGGTGTTGTTTTGTGATTTTTTAATAGATAATTTGAACTAGTTCTTAGTGAAGAAATTAAAGAAGAAACTCACTAAATGACATAACCAAGCTATTTAATGCTATTTAATTAATTTTAATTTAATGCTACCAAGCTATTATTGCCTAGATAGAGTTCTAAATTCTATGAATTATGAAAATTAGTACTGGTACCAATAAAATAAATATAATTTAAATTTTAGCTTTCTCATATATTTTATAAAATTACAATTGCTATGATCACTGAATGTGCCATTCATATAAATGTGTCTTGGGCTGAACACACCATAAAGAAACAGATTATTTGCCTTATGTATATCTTAAAATGTGGAAATGTCTTATTCACAAAGGTTTTCATAACTATTTCCTCCCTAGAGAGCTCTTCTACTATTTAACTACACAAATTTAATGTTTGAACATCAGTTACTTCCGCTGAGTTTCAAGTCAGGCATTTGTTTAGTTTCTACCTAGAAATTATATTTTCACTGGTGTTTTGTAAATTGCTAAATACTGTATTCAATGATCTTTATGTATTTTGATATTTTAGCAGCCTCTTCTCAGGTAAGGTCCATGTTCTAAAATGGATTAACATGATTTTTTTTTCTAGGTGAAGAAAGTCCCCTTTTTTTCAGATTTTAATCTTATGTATTTAACTTTGAAGAAACAAAACAAAACAAAACAAAAAACACCCTTTACTGTCTTTGTAATTTCCAGAGGTAAAAGCTTTAATTCTATACTATAGGTCATATTGGAGGGACACTCTGTACTTGAATTTGACAGCAGTAGAATGATATTCCTTGGGAAATTTAATTAAAAAGTTGAGATTATAAAGAACTTAATGGCATTTCTCATCAAAATATTTCCAATCACTTTTAACTCACTAATTCTTATAGCACTCATGGGTTGTAATTATGCACTCAAGAATATTCTGCATTTGAGCTCTGATCATGGTCATTTGTAAGATCTTTTTATCTACCGCAAAGTAAATGTTTGTGATTGTACAATTAATTTAGATTAATTTACATCCACATATTATTTTTCTGATATGTGTGTGATGCTATGTTAAGTTGAAAAAAGGACATGGGACTAAAAATAAAACAAATTTGTGACATTTCTGGTCTTTAGGTTTCGACCTTGCACTGACTCATAAACTCTCACATGTCATATCTGTGTTTTATTATTTTTTAAAGGAATAGATACTAAAGATAATGAATTTGGCATTTATAAGGAAAATAAGATGTCTAGATCCTGGTAACTGAATGTGACAGAAACTGTGGTGATAGCAAATCCCAGGAAGGCCCACGTTCAAATACATCCCTTCTATATTCTACCAATAGAAATCTTATCAGATTAATAAACTGTCAAGAAGCAACGATACCGTGGGTGACATTTTGGTCCTTTAAAAATTAATATAAACTGTCTTAATATGATTACTTTATTTGGTTTTGAAATAACACCACATTCATGGGGTAGAGTGGGCTGAAGTCATCAATATTGATTTAATGATTGACTGAAATCTATAATAGTTTATTGATAGTTCAAATAATACAAAGACTTACTTTGCAGCTAGATGGGCAATCAATTGGGGGAATAAAAACAACAGGAAAAACACAGATGAGGAGAAGTATATTAAAAAATACTGAAGGTATCAACCCTTTGCTTCATGTAACATTTTACATGGAAAAGGTTAGTACGCTACCCTTGGTAAAGGTTAGTACGCTACCCTTGGTAAAGGTTAGTACGCTACCCTTGGTAAAGGTTAGTACGCTACCCTTGGTAAAGGTTAGTACGCTACCCTTGGTAAAGGTTAGTACGCTACCCTTGGTAAAGGTTAGTACGCTACCCTTGGTAAAGGTTAGTACGCTAACCTTGGTAAAGGTTAGTACGCTAACCTTGGTAAAGGTTAGTACGCTAACCTTGGTAAAGGTTAGTACGCTAACCTTGGTAAAGGTTAGTACGCTAACCTTGGTAAAGGTTAGTACGCTAACCTTGGTAAAGGTTAGTACGCTAACCTTGGTAAAGGTTAGTACGCTAACCTTGGTAAAGGTTAGTACGCTAACCTTGGTAAAGGTTAGTACGCTAACCTTGGTAAAGGTTAGTACGCTAACCTTGGTAAAGGTTAGTACGCTAACCTTGGTAAAGGTTAGTACGCTAACCTTGGTAAAGGTTAGTACGCTAACCTTGGTAAAGGTTAGTACGCTAACCTTGGTAAAGGTTAGTACGCTAACCTTGGTAAAGGTTAGTACGCTAACCTTGGTAAAGGTTAGTACGCTAACCTTGGTAAAGGTTAGTACGCTAACCTTGGTAAAGGTTAGTACGCTAACCTTGGTAAAGGTTAGTACGCTATTGAAATCTACAATATGTACTGTCAACTTTTAAAATTCCATTAATTTAGAATGTAGCAGAATTTAAACTTCTCCAGTTTAAATAAGTCTATAGTCCAGGCTAGCTCAATACAACTTCTTTAGTACTGTCCATAGTCTTGCTGGCCAATCCTCATCCTTTCTTCTAAGAGATAAGGATATAGAACAACTAACATAATAGCTAATATTTTAAGTACATAATGAATAAAAGGGAGTATGGTAAACAACTTGATCTTCTTGGGTAGGTAGTATTACTATTTTTACCCACTGTACATATGAACAAAATAAGTCTTATAAAGGTTGTTTAACTTTTCCTTGATCACATCACTAGTGAGAGCTAGATTTAGGATTCGAAGATTGTCTAATTTTAGATTTGTCATCTCCTGTGAATCTCCAACTGTGTTTCATGAACCCAGCAGGATCATCAGTATACATATCTTTAGTGATTTTGTAAATTCTTTATGAAATGTTTGAATTTTGTGAGGCTTTTCAGTAATTACATAGATGTACATATAAATTTTAGATCATCTGGGTAACCACTTCAAAAGGGAAAACTACTGCTTCAGGTCAATATGCATTTTCATCCGTACTTAAAATATATTTAGCATCAAGTGCTCCTGTATCTATTGTGAAGAAATATTGTAGAGGAGGAAAAAAAGTGAACATAATCAACAAGTGTTCATCTAAATATGTAAGTAAAGTTGCACATTGTATTATAATGAAATAGATAACTGTTAAAGAAGAATTCAAAGACAATATAACATGCCAAACTCAGAAGAACATTTAGTTTCAGTTAATATCACATTACAGCTCTCAGTTGCAGCTCTGTTTGAGAGCTGTAATACATTATATATCACATTATACTGATAAAAATAATTTGAAATTCTTTGCTTTTAGATTTGTTTTGTATGTTTATATATGTATATATTATATATGAAACATATTTTTATATATGAATGAAATGTATATAGTTGAATGAGAGCTAAAATGTCATTACATTTAATTTTATCTGATGTAATAAAGTGACAATAAAATTTAAAGATTTTTTTTAAAATCTGAACATTATTCAAAGTTTAGAAGCACTCATCTGTAAAGTCCAGCTTCACATACATTCTCCAATTTTCTACTTTTGCTTTATTAGTATTATTTTTTGATTGAGACATAATTCATCTCCACAGCTGCTAGCAATTTTCTTAAAATGTAACCCAATAAGTGATGTGAAGTTATATGAAGGCAGCAAAATTTTAAAATCCAATAAATAATGAAGAAAATAATGACACTGAAAGCATGTTATTAATACCTTTTTTTGACATACTCTTCTAGAGTAAGACTTCTGGCAATGTTTTTAAATAGATAAAATGAAAATTGCTGTATGTGTGGTATAATACATCTGCCTGCAAGGAGCTCATTTAAATGTAGGGTTTTTTTACTAAAAATGCAAGCATTCAAATAAGGCAGTATAATGAGATGTATGAACTGTCTCATAGTTAATATACATATGATTAAGAAATTATTTTTTAAGAGCATACTCTACAGTCATGGTTCTATTTCTTCACATTCACTTCTATTTCCCACTCTTGTGTCTAGCTTTTCCCTCAACACTCTAGTAAAATGGTGCTCACTAATACTTTCTCTAACACATTCGATACTGCATTCTTAACAGGCTATTTTATGTAATTATTGACTTCTGCATATCATTTCAACCACTTTACTATGCTTCTTGCCATATTCTGCAACCCTAAACCCTTCCAGTATTCTTGAGATATCTCGAAAAGTCCATCTAAGTATTGTTCATGGGTCCATCATCTTTTACATAGCCCTTGAACATTGCTATTTTTCCTAAGGCATGATTATTAGTTCTCTGTATAAAAATCTATAGTAAACCTCATCTATAACCAATGTTCCAACTATTACGCTTATTCCAAAATCCATTGCCCCTGCTGATTTAACACCTTCTCACCTACATTTAGATATTTAGAGACACTTATAACTATACAAATACAAAAATGAATTTCATCTCTTTCAGTATTTATTCTTCTTTTGCATTTCCTGTTTTATAATGACTTGACACTCATTTATTAATTTACAATCGTGGCAGTCATCCTAGATTTCTCTTTATCAATTTATCTCATCAACTTATTATCTAGTCATTTACTGTATCCTATGGAATCAATATCTTTAATATGTCTTAAGTATATTTCACCAACTTCAGTTTTATCTTTTGAGATGGAGGTTTGCTCTGTCACCCAGGCTGGAGTGTTGTGATGCTATCTCGGCTCACAGCAGCCTCTGTCTCCTGGGTTCAAGCGATTCTCCTGCCTCAGCCTCCTGTGTAGCTGGGATTACAGGCGCCCACCACCATGCCCGGCTAATTTTTGTATTTTTAGTAGAGACAGGGTTTCACCATGTTGGCCAGGCTGGTGTCGAACTCCTGGCCTCAGGCGATCCACCTGCCTGGGCCTCCCAAAGCACTGGGATTACACGCATGAGCCACCATGCCAAGACTTCAATTGCATTTTCACTATTCTTGTTTCTGTCTCTAATGATTTCTTACATGGCATCTGTCTGGCAATTCTTTAATTTTTCCTTCACCATCTATGAGAACAAATTTTCTACAGTGCATATTAGACCATGTAGCATGGTTATTAAGGATATTTTAATGATTTGCTATACTTTTATGCTAAAGTTTAAATTCCTTAACTTATTTCAGAAGGCATCTCATGACATAATTATTTCCTACCATTCTAGCCTCAAGTGCCACCCCTATTAACAACACTTCTTTGTCCATCTACAGAGATTTAACTGTAGTTTTAGTGAGGGCTCATGATTTTTTTTCAATTGTGTCTCTCCTCTTGGGATGTTTTTCTTCCCTTGTCCACCATAAATATTTGTGAGATTATACTTCACCTATCACTGAAAATGAAGCTCAAACAACACCTTCTACTATCTATCTGTCTGTCTGTCTATCTATCTATCATCCATCTATTTTTTTTCTTTTCCTATGCAACAAAGAATGAATTTGGCTTATGCAATGCCAATCTGTAATTTCTTTTTCTTTATCTCCCTCTTCTATAAGGAGAGTATTCTAAGGAAATACTAACTAATCAAGCATCCTCACTGCTAGAGGAGAGCATGTGTTAATTCTGGCCAATGAGTTGCAATCAGAAATCATATAGGGAGAATTTCCTTCAGGGATATCAAGATAAAACCTCAGGTACAAAGAGCCCTTTACCTTTTATTAAAAAAATTTTTTTTGAACATGGATCAGGACATGGTACCTAGAGAAGCAGCAGTGGTCAATTTATGACTATGAACCAAGAAGGAAAAGAAAAAAAAATCAAAATAATGTATTCCCAGATAAGACATTATTGAGATCCAAAATTATTGCCAGAATCACCATTAGTAGCCATTTAGTTTAAATCATCATTAGTCAAGATTTCTTATTTGCAGGGTAATGTATTCCTAATATACTATTATAGTTTTATATATTTGTCTTATCTCCTAAAACACTCTGCTCATTCTTTCTGTTACACTTTAGCAAACTACATTGTTATATATTGTATCAGTTGATATTTGTCTATATTCTCAACTTTATTTGTGGAGGTCAAGAACAAAGTTTTGCCTCTCAGGTACTTGGTCTTGCATCTGGAACCACAGGTATTCAATAAAAGTTTTTTACTTAAAATGAATACTTATTCATATTCATTCAATATGTAAATGGATAAATTAAACATGCTGCATGTCTTGAGTGAAAAACTATTAATCCTCAAAGATAATCACAAACTCTATAGAAAAGTTCTTAATTTTAATGGACTGTGTCTGGCTTTTACTCTTTTGTTTGTGTATCTTCTCAAGACCCAGCCGAGTGTACTTACTCTTCTTTGTGCAGAATGAATATTAGGATTCATCTTTATGGGAAGGGCTTTATACTTATGAAATGGCCCAGTAGCATAAAAACCTGTAATATAAATTCCTCCATTAACAGAGGTTGTCAGGAAGAGTAAAATCAGTACTAATACTTAATTCATGGCATACAATTTATGTTTTTCTTCTCACTGCTTATTTTAAATCTTATTTCATAACAATAAACATCTTTTTTATTATTTTAGTATAAATCCTTAAATGTATATTCATCATAAAAATATGTAATTATGGTTTATGAGGGAATGTACTTAGAATTTATACCAACTTTATAAAATCTACTCCACCTTAAATAATAATGCTCTTATTTCTTCTGCTTTCACTGAAGGCTTTTTTTCTTACCAAATGTTTACATTGTATGTATCAATTGTTACTTTTGATGGAAGCATAGACTTACATTGTGTTGAATCAAACTCAATTATATTTTACTTAGACATTCAAGAAGGGTGCTTATCATTCCCACTAACTCATATAGAACTGAAATGAATATCCTTGAATAAAATATCTTTAGAGCTTCTTGTGAAAGTTTCATTGGCATGTTAATTCAAGAGTGCGATTTCTGGGTTTCGGTACATTCACAAGTTAATTTAATGGTCTGCCAGATTGCTGTCTAGAATGGCTGTACAAAATTGCCTTGCCTTCACTCTTCCTGTGAATTCTTTTTTTTTTTTCAATTTTTTCAACAAAATTTCCAACTTACCTTTTTGCTTTTCCAAATTGTTGAATTAAAGAACATCTACTTCTTTTAGCAGACATTTTGTTTAATAGACATTGATTTTTAGAGCAATTTTAGGTTCACAGAAAAATTTAATGGAATGTACAGATAGTTCCCATAAACCCTCTGCTCCACACATGTACTGCCTCTCTCGCTGTTGACACCCTATGCCACAGTGCTACATTTGTTAACAACTTATAAACTTTAATTACCACATCATTATCACCCAAAATTTATGGTTTACATTTGGGTTCACTCTTGGTGTTGTACATTCTTTGGGTATTATTGATAGATGTATAATGACATGAGTCTTACAATATAGTATCATACAAAATTGTGTCATTGCCCTAAACATTTTGTATTCTGCTTATTCATCCCTTCCTTTTCCCTAACCCCTGGCATCTGATCTTTTTACTGTTGCCATAATTCTGCTATTTGCAGCAAGTCCTATTTTTGGAATCGTACAGTATACAACCTTTCCAGACTGACTTATTTCACTTAGTCACTTAAGGTTTCTCCATGCCTTTTCATGGCTTGATAGGTTATTTCTTTTTAATGCTGAATAATATTTCATTGACCAGATGTACCACATTTTATGTATATATTCTCATAACGAAGAACACTGTGGTAGCATCAAAGTTTGGGGAATTTTGAATAAACTGTTACAAACTTCCATGTATGGGTTGTTGTATGGACCCAACTTTTTAACACTTTTGGATAAATACAAGGAGTGTGGTAATTGGATTGTATGGTAAGAGTATGTTTAGTTTTTTAAGAAACTTCCAAACTGCCTTACAAAGTAGTTGTATAATTTTACACTTCCATCAACATTGAGTGAGAGTTTCTTTTGTTCCATATCTTTACCAGCATTTGATGTTGTGTTTGTGTTTTTATTTTAACCCCGCTAATAGATGTTTAGTGGTATTTCATGTTTTCATTTGCAATTTCCTAATTCCATATAATATAGAACACCTTTTTATATGCTTATTTGCCATCTGTATCTCTTCTTTGATAAGGTGTTTATTCAGGTATTTTGCCCATTTTTTAATTGGGTTGTTCATTTGCTTATTGTTGGATTTTAAGTGGTTTTTTTTTTAATGTATGATAGGTGATGTTCTATTATCAGTTGTGACTTGTGAAAAATATTTTCTCACAGTTTGTGGCTTGCCTGATCAAGCTCTTTACCAGATCAAAAATTTTAAATCCTTAATTCATTTAACTTATCAGTTATTTCTTTCATGGATTTTGCCTTTGGTATTGTATCTAAAAAGTCATTACCATATCCAAGTTCTTCTAGAATTTCTTCTATGTTATCTTCTAGGAATGTTATAGTTTTGAATTTTACATTTAGATTGGTGATCTATTTTTAGTTCATTTTTGAAAAGAGAACATAGTCTGATATTATTTTTTGCAGCATATGTCTAGTTAAGTTTCAGCACCGTTTGTTGAAAGATTATGTTTTCTCCAATGTATTAACTTTGTTCTTTGCAACAGTCAATTGACCATATTTCCACAGATCTATTTCTGAGCTTTCTATTCTATTCCTTCGATCTGTTCATGTATTCTTTCCCAATATACTGTTCTGAATACTGTAGTATCATAATAAGCCTTAAAGTTGGATAGTGTCAGTCATCCAACTTTATTCTTATTTATCAATATTTTATTGGCTCTTTTGTGTCTTTTGCCCCTCCACACAAACTTAAAAATGAGTTTGTTGATTATTACAAAATAACTTTCTGGTATTCTGATTGAGTTCATGCTGAATCTATATATCAACTTGGGAAAAAGAGATATCTTGACAATAATGTCTCCTGTCCATGAAAATGGAATATCTCTTCATTTATTTAGCCTTTTTTGACTTCTTATATTAGAGTTTTGTAGTTTTTCTCATATAGATCTACTAGATATTTTGTTAGATTTATACCTAAGTGTATCTTTTATGGGAGTACTAATGCAAATGGTATATATATATTTTTAATTTCAAAATCAACTTTTTTATTGTTGAGCTATAGGAAAGCTACTGGCTTTTGTATACTAACCTGTATTTTGTAACTCTGCTATGGTGACTTATTATCCCCAGGATTTTTTGTTGTTGTTGATTTTTTTGGAGTTCCTACATAGCTGATAATGTCATCTGCAAATAAAGAGAGTTTTCTTCTTTTTACTTTCCAATACAAGCACCTTCTTTTTTTCTTGCTTTATTACATAACAAGGACTTCCTGAACAATGTTTAAAAGCAGTCATGAAAGGAGACATTCTTGCCTTGTTTCTGATCTTAGTGAGAAAGCTTTGAGCTTCTTATCATTAAGTAGGCTGTTAGCTATAGACTTTAAAACAATATTATTTATAAAAACAAGGAAGTTCACTTCTATTCCTAGTTTACAGAGGCTTTTTATCATAAATGGGGATTCTGTCAAATGTTGTCAAATGATTTTTCTGCATCTGTTGATATGACCTTGTAAGTTTTTTCCCTTGCCAATTGACCTAATTGATTTTTACATATTGAACCAGACTTGCATACATGGGATATCTCCCACTTAGTTGTGGTATATAGTTTATTTTATATATTGTGGCATTTGATTTGATAACACTTTGTTAGGGATTTTTGCATTGGTGTTCATGAGTGATACTCATCTACAGTTTTATTGTAATGTCTTTGTCTATTTTGGCTATTAGAGAAATGCTATCCTGATAAAAATGAGTTAGGGAGTATTTCCTCTGCTACTAGCTTCTGGAAGAGATATAGGTAACTAGAATAATTTCTTCCTTAAATATTTGGTAGACTTTACCAGCAAAGTAATATGGGACTAATGCTTTCTGTGTCAGAAGAGTATTCATTCAATTAATTTACTATAGATAGGCTTACTTTTTTGTGGTTGTGAGCTTGTTGGGTTGTGTCTTTCTTGGAATTGGTCTATTTCATGTAGGTTATAAAATTTGTAAATATAGAATTCCTCATGTTGTTTCTTTTTTACCCTTCTGATGTTAATAAAATCTGTAGTGATGCTTTTTTATTTTTGATACTGTGTCTTCTGTATTTTGTTTTTAGCCTTGCTATAAGCTTATAAATTTTTGATTTTTTAAAAACACCACTTTTTGGGTTCAATTGATTTTCTCTTTGTAATTCAATTGATTTCTGTTTGAATTTTATTTATTATTCATTTTCTTATACTTACTTGAATCTAATTTCTTCTACTTTTTCTTGTTTCTTAAATTTGAAGCTTCAAGTACTGATTTTTATATTGTCTTTTTTTCTTAATATGCATCCAATGCTATTAATTTTCCTCTAAGCACTGCTCTGGCTGCGTTCCCCAGTATTTTATAAGCTGCATTTTTATTTCCATCCAGTTCAAAATACTTTAAATTTTTTATTAATTTTTCTAAATTTGACCCATGTATTGTTGTGATGTATGCTGTTAAATGTCTTAAAAATTTGGAGATTTTTCCAATCGTTTTTCTGTTATTGATCTGTAGTTCAGTTCTATTCTTGTCTGAGAACAGATATTGTATGATTTCTATTTTTGTAAATTTGATTATTGTTAAAACGATTTATTTTCTGGCCCAGAAAGAGGTCTATCTTTGCACATCTTTCCTTTTCACGTTTTTCTGCCTGCTTTCTATTCACTGGAAGCTGATTAGATTGTACCCACCAGATTAAGGGTGGACCTGACTTCCCCAGCCCACTGACTTAAGTGTTAATCTCTTTTGGCAACACCCACAGAGACATACCCAGGGTTAATACTTGTATCTGTCAATCCAATCAAGTTGACACTCGGTATTAACCATCACACTCAGTATAATGGCTAAAACTAAAAATGCTGATGAAACCATGTGTTACCAATGATACGAAGCAAATATAATTCATATACATTGATGATGGGAATTATGGGAATGCAAAATGGTGCAACTTTGGAAAACAGTATGGCAGTGCCTCATAAAATTAAACATTAATTTACCATATGGCCCTGCAATCTCATTCTTTTGTATTTAGCTAAGAGAAAAGAAACCATATGTACATACAAAGAGGTATAAGTACGAATGTCTTTATTATTAATCACAATAACCCAAATTAGAAGCAACTCAAATGTCTAACAAGAGATAAATTAGTAAATTGTTGCATATCTACTCTTTAGAATAGTGCTCAGTAAAAAAAAATGAATGAAACATACATTCAAACAACATGGATCTTTCTAGAAGAGAGTATGCTAATTGAGAAAAGAAAAATGCAAAATTTATATACTGTATAATTCCATTTACATTAGATTCTAGGAAAAAAATACAATAAAAACAGAAAGCAAATTGGCGGTTGCCCAAAACCTGAAAAGTGAAAAGGAGCATGGGAACATTTGTTAGAGTGAGGGAATTTTTATATCTTGATTTTAGGTGTGGTAACGTAATTATAGAAAATTACCAAAATATATTAACCTGTTTACTTAAAAGTAATGAATTCTACTATATGTAAATAATACCTTATAAAATAGGAGGGAAAATGAAGACAAAATTAAGATTCTTTTTCTCTGGACATAGAGTAGCAGTGTGAATTTCTTTCTAGCACATCTCCATTGAAAGATATGCTAAAAATAAGTTTTTCAGGCTAATGACAACTATAACCAGATGAAAGCACAAATCTACAAGATGAGCATCAGACACTGTATATATCTACATATACATTTTAAAAGTCTTTATCATTATTTTAATTTAATGCAAAAGTATTGTGTACCATATGTAGAAGTACAAATATGACAAGACAAGCACAAATAGAGGATTCTTAAAAATATATATTGTTACCGCCATTGTCAAAAGGTTTTTAATTAACTCAAGGTAATTGAACAGATTTAAGGCCAGTCTCAGATGTTACATAAGGGGCAGTGATATTATCAGATATTTGTGGGTGGGAAAGAAATGAGAATATTTCTACTTGCACTCTAAAAGTCGCTGTCCTAACTCAGGTCCTCTGTAAAGCAGAACGTTAAGTCTTGATCATTATCATAATTATTGTTTTGGATGTGCGAATACAGAGAGTGGAGGGGGAAAGATAATATGAGCCAAGATGAAATAGAAAGAGTGCCACAGGATGATAAAAGATGACCATGTGAGCCGTGAAGAGAAATGTACTGAAGTTTACAAGGAGAAACCACACTGTGGTGAAATCTAGATAAGGGCGAAGGGAGAGACACTGGCTAAGCTCTTTCCTTACCTTCATTTCCCATTTTCAAAGTTAACCCTAAGGTGGAGCAAACTCTACTACACTAAATTTGATAATGACATTGCATCGTCAAAACCCTCTATGGATGCTCAAGAGTATAGATGAGAGTCCCCAGAAAACAGAAGCTGAGAAGGAAATTTGCTTTCAGGAAATTTCTTTGGTAGTGCTCTCAGAAACAATTATGAAAGAGGAAGTAGAAAAGCTATGCAATTACAACAGAATACTCAGCCCAGCTATAGCGCCATTCACAGTAATCATGATATGAATAAAAGGAGCCAGGTTTTAGTATTTCTCTATCAACCAGGCATTGGACACAGGCTGCAAACAGGGTGAATGTGTAACCTTTGTGTAGGCAGTGCTTTCTATTATAAGCAGCACTCATACCCAGATTAGCCTTAGCTTTGTTGTTAGCAGGCAATAGGTACAGCCTCTAAAGAAATGTTTCCTGTTTTTGGAATGGGTATATGAATGATTCATTGCAGTGGTCACTATACTCTATCGTGTGGTGTGCTTTTTTATTCAGGTGGCAGTGGAGGAGTGACTCCACCCATCATGTGGGACATTCAGGGAATGCTAGCTGGGGAAACTCCAACCAGCTTGGGCAGCTTCTCCAAGGTGAGACTCACACTGTGCCTTTGGAAATGAAAGGTTGTTGCAGAACTTGAGAAGGTACATAAAATTTGTGTCTGATCAAGCCTAGTCTTTATATGCACTACTTATTACTCATAGAGGACTCAGAGGTGCACAGATAATTCAGTTTATTGAAGAAACCTCAATACAATTGGTAGAGTTAAGTGCAAGTAGGGCAGAGTGAGAGATGAACTTGGATAGCAAATGAAATGCCACATTATGTCACAACTTAGGAGCCATATTTGAAAGTTTGGATTTTATCAAATCAGAAAACATTCCAGAAGTGACATGATCAAATATTAATGTACATATCAAAAAGGCTATTCTTCTGCAGAAAAAAAGTGGAGAAAGCAAATCTTTAAAAATTGGAAAATTATTTGGGAGGGACATCACAAAATAACACATTTAATTACCAGAAAGCTTATTAAAAGTTACTATAATTAGTCCTTCAGAAAATGAAAAATTTAACCAAAATGAGATGCTAGGTACCTATTATGCAAAACAAATGCTTAAGTTTTGCTGAGGATATAGATATAGAAATAATGAAAACTTTCATGTACATCTGATAGATGAGAAACCTGTACTAAAACTGAATGTAGGCAGGAGCCACAACCCAGCAGTTCTACTCTTTGGAATATATCCAACATCAAATTATTCATACATCCACCAAGATACATTTTTTATTGTTTTTGTTTCTCTCCTGATTGCTATTTCTGTGAGGAGATTTTCATGTGTTGAAACTATGTTTTGTGTTACTCATTGAAGATAGTTATAATCGTGCTTTATAATAGTCCTCCTAGCTTTAATCAGAAAATAAGATGCTTCTTAATATTTGACACAGTTGATTTACTTCTCTCTTGAGAACAAGTCTCACCTTTTAATTTTATCTTGTTTTAATAATATAATGCTAAGTTTAGATCATATCATTCAAGTTATAAATGGTAAGTTAGAAGTTTCTGGTTTAAATCTTTTCCTTTTCTTAGTAAAAAGAAACCAAATTGTTTCAAGTTATTTACTTGCTGTGTTTAATTTGGAAACTCACTTTCTGATGTTAAAATCCTTTGCCTTTTGATGGGCTACTCTGGATTTCTTCAATGTATTTGTAGTTTATGAGCCAGTCATTAAAGTTTGCAGTCTTTGGAGATGCCATGCAAAAGAAAAACAAAAAAGAACAAGAGTTGTAACTACTGTATTATTTTCTTAAAACAATAGAAATTAAGAAGGACAATTAGGGCATTACATAATGATAAAGGGTAAAACCCAACAAGAATTACCTATTCTAAATATATAAACATCTAACATTGGAGCACTTGGATCTATAAAATAAGTTCTTCTTGGCCCATGAAAATACATACATAAACACACAATAATAACTTCAACACCCCATTGAGAGTATTAGGCAGATTATTAAGGTAGAAAACTTACAAAAAACTCTGGACTTAAAACTTGATATTTGAGTAATTGGACCTAATAGACATCCACAGAACACTCCTCCCAGTAACCAAAGAATATACATTCTTTTCTCAGGTTCACATATAACATATTCTAAGATTGACCACATGCTCAGACATAAAGCAAGTCTCAATAAATTAAAAAAAAACTAAATCATATCAAGAAAACCTTCAGACCACAGTACAATAAAAATAGAAACTAACATCAAGAAAACCTCCAAAACATGGAAATTAAACAACTTGCTCCTGAATAACTCCTGGATGAATATTGAAATTAAGGTAAAAATAAAAAAATGAAATTGATGAAAATTGTGTACGTACCAAAATCTCTCAGATGCAGCAAAAGGAGTATTAATAAAAAAGTTTATAGCCCTAAACAACTTCATCAATAAGTTAGAATGATCTCAAGTTAACAATCTAAATTTGCAGTTAAATAAACCAGAATATAAAGAATAAACCAACTCCCAAACTAGCAGAAGAATAAGAATAACTAAAATTTGAAAATAAGTTAATGAAATTTAGATGCAAAAGTGAAATTGAGATACAAAATATTAACGAATCCAAGAATTGGTTATAAAAAAAAAACAAGATTGATAGACCATTAGCTAGATTAACAACAACAAATAGATCCAAATAATTACAGTCAAAATGGCAATGATGACATTACAACTGATCTCACAGAAATACAAAAGATCCACAGAGAATAGTATGAAAAACTCTATGCACACAAATTAGAAAATCTAGAGCAAGCTTTTCCAACTCACGGCCTGTAGGCCTCATGAGCCCAGGGCAGATTTGAATTTGGCCCAAAATAAATTTGTGAACTTTCTTAAAACATTAAGAGATTGGTTCCTCAGCTATTGTTAGTGTTAGTGTATTTTATGTGTGGACCAAGACAGTTCTTCTTCCAATGTGGCCCAGGGAAGCTATAAGATTGAACATCCTTCATCTAGAGGAAATGGTTAAATTCACGGAAACATACAATCTCCTGAGTTTGAATAAGAAAGATATTGAAACTCTGAATAGGTCAGTATTGATTTCTGAAATTGAATCAGTAATAAAAAAACCCTGCCAACCAAAAATTCCCTAAACCAGATGGATACACAGCCAAACTCTACCAGAAATATAAAGAAGAACTGATAATATTTTGACTTAAACTATTCTGAAAAGTCGAGGAGGAGGGACTCTCATTAACTAATTCTATGAAGCCAGAATCAGCCTAATGCCAAAATCTAGCAAAGACATGATGAGGAAAGAAAACTTCAGGCCAATATCCTTGATAAACATAGATGCAAAAGTCCTCAACAAAATACTAGTAAAATACATCCAGCAGCACATGAAAAAGTTAATTCAGCATGATCAAGTAGGCTTTATTCCTGGAATAAACAACTTCCACAACATATTCATCATGGGTAGATTACATCTTATGAAACCACCTTTTTTGCAGAGCCATAAGAAGAAATTCTCAGCCATTCAAATTTTATCATGAGATTGCAGCAATTGAGTCATACCTTTAGGCTCCACGCCTAATTCAAGTTCTTTGGCTATTTTCACCACATCTGCCACTACTTTCTCTGCTGAAGTGTTGAACCCCCAAAAGACATCCAGAAGGATGATTGAAATGAACTTCTTCCAGACTTCTGTTAATGTTTACATTTTGACTTCCTCCCATGAACTACAAATTTTCTTGTTGGTATCTAGAATCGTGAGTCTTTCCAGAAGGTTATCACTTTACTTTGCCTAGATCCTTCACAAGAATCACTACCTATGGTGGGATATCACCTTATAGAATGTATGTATTTCCTAATACGACTTGGAAGCCAAAATGACTCCTTGATTCTTGGGCTGCAGAATAGGTGGATGTAGTAGCAGGCATAAAAATTTAGTCTCTTTATATTTCCATCAGAGCTTTTGGTGCATTGCCAATGAGCAGTAATATTTTGACAGGCGTTTGTTTTCTGAGCAGTGGATCTCAGTGATGGGCTTAAAATATTCAAAAAATTGTACTATAAGCAGTTGTGCTATCATCAGGCTTTGTTGTTCCATTTGTAAAACATAGGTACAGTAGATTTAGCATGATTCTTAAGTGTCCTAGAATTTTCAGAATGCTAAGTGAGTTAAAATTGGTTTCAACGTAAAGTTGCCAGTTGTGTTGGCCCCTAACAAGACAGTCAGGCTGTTCTCTGAAGCAGGTATTAACTTCTGTCTATCTATGAAAGTTCTAGATAGCATCCTCTTTCCAATAGAAGCCTGTTTCATCTGCAAGAAATTTGTTATGTTGTTGTTTAGTATAGCCACATTTATTAATGATTTTAGCTAGATCTCCTGGATAACTTGTTGAAGCTTCTCCATCAAGATCTGCTATTTTACCTTGCAGTTTTATGTTATGAAGAGGGCTTTCTCCCCTATGCCTCATGAACCAACTTCTGCTAGCTTCCAATTTTTCTGCTGCAGTTTCCTCACCTATCTCAGGCTTCATAGAATTGAAAAGAGCTATGACCTTGCTGTGGATTAGGCTTTAGCTTATGGAAATGTTGTGACTGGTTTCATCTTCTGTTCAGGCCATTGAAACTTTCTCCCTATCAGCAATACAGCTATTACTGTTTCTTATCATTTATGTGTTCATGAAGTAAAACTTCTAATTTCCTTTAAGAACTTTTCCTTTGCATTCACAACTGGGCTTTTTGGTACAAGAAGCCTGCATTTCTGCCTATCTAGGATATCAACGTACCTTCTTCACTAATCTTAATCATTTCTAGTTTTTCATTTAAAGTAAGAGATGTGTGATTCTTCCTTTCATTTAAACTCTTAGAGATCATTGTAGGGTTATTAATTGGCCTAATTTTAGTATCGTTGTTTCTCGGGGAATAAGAAAGCCTGAGGAAAGGGAGTGAGACAGAGAATGGCTGTATAGTGGAGCAATCAGACCACATAATTTTATGGATTAAGTTCACCGCCTTCCATGGGTACAGTTTGTGATGCCACAAAACAGTTGCAATAGTAACATCAAAGATCACTGATCTCACATCACCATAACAGATATAATAATAGTAATAGTTTGAAGTATTTTGTAAGAAATACCAAATGTGACACAGAGACACGGAGTAAATATATGTTAGTGGAAACATGTTGTCTGTAGACTTAATTGACACAGGTTGCAGAAACGTTCAATTTGTTTAAAAAAAAGTGAAGCACAAGCAAAGCTTAATAAAATGAGGTGTGTCTGTTTGTCTGATATGAAGTATCTCTCTGGGATTCAATAACACTTTCACTGGCATAGATTAACAATGTCCATGATAATGATTGCTGATATTTATCCAGGAGTTATTATGTGCCACGTACATTCGCAAGCATTATCTCATTCCATTTAAAAAACATGATCTGATATAGATACTATTCTTATTTCATTATACTTATGACATCAATAAAGATGAAATATGTTAGATTATTTGCTGAAATCCACACAGCAATTAAATTGTTTTAAATAGGAAGGATTTAATTGATCCTGACATCTATGATCTTAGCTACAATGCTCTATGGAATATCACAAAACACAGTGTTTTTCCCAAATAGCTTGCCTGGTTCAATGTTTACATAAAATGGACAGAATTAGTTTCTATTCTAAGAAAATTGGAATCCAATCTGATTAAATATTTCAATATGCATAAAGAGAACATTTATCAAAATAAAGGGGGCTTAGTTACCGTGGAATGTAAAAAAGAAGAGTCTCAGCTTAATAATGACTATTCCTATCCAAGCTTTCTCCAGAGAGTCTTGCAGCTTTAGCAAATAAAACTTTGGTCGTTCAGTTCCATTGGCATGTATATTCATTATCTAGGTTTTCCCTTGCCATATTGGCAGAACAATACATATTTTAAAGTATCCGCATTGTTGTCTTAGAGATTTTATTAAACATTATACTTATTAATTATCCTTCCTCATGTACTCCAATCTTAGTTAATGTTTTCCTTTTCGTAAATATATTAACAGAGGAATGTACACATTTATCATATTGACAATGAGTAGAATCTCTCATTTCTGATTTGTTATTCTGATATTACATATATCAATATCTTGAATTGTGTTTATATAAATTAATTATGTTTTAATCTCATAAACTGAAAGACCAGAAGATAGACCGTAGTAAAAAAATAATTATGCCATTGTTTGAGGTCACTTGTCTTACTTTCCCGCTGATGATGGCATGCGGGTAACATTACCATTGACAGGATATTAGTATTTTCTTAGATCCTAAATTATTTTGATCTTGAGATTTCTATTTAAGTGTAATAATATGACATAATATTTTCTTAAAAAGTAAATATTTGACTTTTTTTCTCAGAATTCAAATACTCCAAGAGTGAGAAATTAATGTCAGTCTTATGAAGAATGTATCAAAAGAATAACTCTAAAGTTAAAGGTGCTGTAGTTGTACAGTGATTGACACATTTTAAGATCATGTCCATAATATGACAAAGATAATAGGGCAGTGGAGAAAGTTAGTAGAAAATTCAAGCATGATTAAATATCATTTTTCTATAGACAACTTAAAGGAGCACATGTCACAATTAGAAACTATGTCATTAAACAAGTCAGAAATATCATAATACACTAATCTACTTGTATCACATATTTTTGTATTAGATATACTGCTAAAGTAATTCACAACTACAGTATTGGTCCAATTCTTTTCTTTTTAAAACTTTCAAAATAATGAGCCTTTATTTACTTATTTTTATCCTCTCCCTTTCTGAAATTGTCCTAATAGTTCTCAAATTTAAAGCTCTAATAATTCCAAAAACTTTAGTAACCAAATCTCTTCTGTGTAAAACTTTTATATGGATATAGTATGATAAAACGAACCAGTCTTTTTTTTTAATGTATATGTACATGCTCTAGTTAAGACATTTCTAGTGAGGTTCTCATCTTAGTAACACTCTGTAATATTTTCTTTGAAGTTAATTTTTTGCTAAACCATTTTCTTTACATTTAATTTAGATATTATATATGTAATATATATCTATGAATCTACATATTTGTCTAAGAACTATTTTCTAAAAGAACAGCTTATCTCAATTATTCTTTCTGGTGTAGACAATACATCACCAATTTGAAACTCATTATTTTTGTGTTATACTCTTAACTGCTCATTGATATGTATCTTTCTAAACAAACATGAAACTAAAAAATTAGCACTAAGCTAGCCTCTGAAATATGAAAAGAAAATATTGTTCTGGCTGGGCGCAGTGGCTCACGCCCATAATCCCAGCACTTTGGGAAGCCGAGGCAGGTGGATCATTTGAGGTCAGGAGTTCAAAACCAGCCTGGCCAACATGGTGAAACCTCGTCTCTACTAAAAATTCAAATAATTAGCCAGGCGTGGGGGCACATGCCTGTAAACCCAGCTACTCGGGAGGCTGAGGCAGAGGAATCGCTTGATCTCGGGAGGCGGAGGTTGCAGTGAGCCGAGATCGCGCCACTGCAATCCAGCCAGGGTGATGAAGTGAGACTCTGTCTCAAAAAAATAAATGTATAATATAATATAATATAATATAATATAATATAATATAATATAATATATAATATAATATATAATATAATATAATATAATATAATATAATATAATATAATATAATATACAGTCCCGAATTTCTTTGAGCTCATGATCTTGGGTAGGTGGGTGATGGGATAAAAAATTAGCCATTATATGATTTTGATTGAAGGAGAATGTTTTGCTAATGCAGTGGAACCCTATTTAGATTGGGGACTAGGCATCAGGATAGTATTTTGCAGAGTCCATGATATCAGTTGAATCTTGAAATATGAATAAAAGTTAACCAGAAAGCTTTGAGGACATAAGGATGATAGTAGAAGGAAGAATAAGCATAGGATATAGGAGTGAAAGAGAACATAGCACTTATGGGAGTGATTTGAACTTAAGATGCATAAGGCTGGAAAGTTAGGCAACATCAAAACCCTGAGAAACTGTATGCAATAACAAACACAGGTGATTCATAAAGGGGTAATAATTGAGCAAAAGATTCAGAATAAAATTTATTTTCCTATAGATTTTATAAGCTATTCATTACTAAAATGACCAAGTAGAACTTTCAAGATGCCTTTCCCCTGTATTTGTCAGCACAACAGGGGGACTATATTAAATAATAATTTAATTGTACATTTTAAAATAACTGAAGAGTATAATTGGATTGTTTATGAAGGATAAATGCTTGAGGTGATGGATACCTCATTTACCGTGATGTGATTATTATACACTGTATGCCTGTATCAAAATATCCTACATATTCCATAAATATATACACCAACTTTGTATCAAAAAATTAAAAATATGTTTTGTAAACCCACAATTTTAAATAACTTCAAAATTGTCTTGTTTACTAAGATTTATAATTGATGTATTTCTTCTTGTGTTAAAATATATTTCAAATCTATAGTTAATTCTAAATAAAAATCTGCTAATGATGTCAATGAACATGTTTGAGGCTGGCTTTTTTTAGATCAAAATATTATGTATTTCTCCACTTTAGATATAAAAATTATCAAAATTGCATATCTTCATCTACTCAGAAAATTTACAAATATAATTTTTAATTCAGATTTATCAAAATAGAATTTACAGTTAAAATTTACCTTTTTTGGATGCACAGTTATATGAGTCATTATAAATGTACACAATTATGGAGCCTGGAACAATAAAGAATTAGAATAATTCCATCACCATTAAAAACTTTCCTCTCTGCCACTTTAGTGTCAATTTATTCCTCCGATAACAGCCTGTGGCACCTACTGATTTCTTTTCTGTCTCTGTAATTTTGACATTTTCAAAATTTTATATAAATAGAACACATAATAGGTAACCTTCGCACTTCACTTCTGAGTTTGGCTTAAATTTAAGATTCACCTATGTTGCTGAGTTTGCTGGTAGTCGGTTCTTTTTATTTCTGAGTAGTATTCTACCATGTGAATGTCCCACATTGTACTGACCCTCACCAGATGCCAGATGATAGATGTTTGGGTTGTTTATATTTTCTGGTGATTATAAATTATACTATTTTAAATATTTACAGAGGTATTTTCTAAACTAATAATAATATAAATAATAAGTTTCATTAAACATACTGATTTTCTGCTGTTAAAAATATATGAACATAAAAATGTTTTCAAAAGGAAGGCATTAAATGTCATTTGAATATTAAGCATAAACCTAAACCTATCACATTCAAGTTGGACAGATTTGGATAATTATTTAAATTTTGAGCCTCCATTTCTGAGTGTTTTAACAAGGTTAATACAATTCATTTATCTCAAAGTAATGTTGAGGAAATCAAATGGGGTAATGCAAATACACTTTGTAGATATCTTTTTCAGTAACCATAAATATTTTCCAAGTAAGAAGTAACTAACTTGGTCAAGTCCACTTTGCAATAATCCAGTAAGTTTTTACAGGAAGGTTTATCTCAAATTTTAGGCAGCTAAACACCTAAATCATTGTGTAGATTTCAAAATTCCTCTCAATGTTTATATGACAGTCTTTAATGAACATCCTCCTTAGGTAGTAAGACTGAATCCTAAGTTGACGGGAAAAAAAACTGCACTAATACATAATATGCCACATAACGTAAGATTTAAATGAAACTACCTTATCCTAATGACTGGCAGAGTAAGTTGTAAACAATGGCATTTGTTAACGTTGATCCAAATGACCATGCATTATTAAATCCAGCTTTTACATTTTTCAAATTTTAGATTGAACTTAAGCCCATGACCTCATCATGTTCAATGTTAACTTTCTGTGTCATAAGTTCTTTGTCTTCAAGGTTACTTTTGGTTTTGAAATATCATTTTATATTAGATTACAGGCAAAAGACAATTAGTTTTCCAAATAGTGCTTCTTGGGCCATAAATACAAGCTGTCTTTTTTTGTTTGGTTTGGTTTCATTTTTAATTAAAACATAATTGTACATATTTATAGGGTACAGTGTAATGTTTTAATATATGTATACAATGTGGAATGATCAAATTAGTGTAGTTAAGATATCCATCACCTCAAAAATTTATTATTTCTTTGTGTTGAGACCATTCAAAATCTTCTCCTAGCTATTTTGAAATATACAATATATTATTGCTAATTATAGCCACCCCAGTGTGCAATGAAACACTAGAGCTTATTCCTCTTATCTAATTATAACTTTGTGCTTATTGTCCAACCTCTTCTCATTTCCCTTTCCCCTCCATGCATCCCAGCCTCTAGCAACCATTTTTCAACTCTCTACTTCTGTAAGATCAATTTTTTAAGATACCACGTATGTGTAAGATCATGAGGAATATGTCTTTATGTGCCTGGCTTATTTAACTTTACACACACTCTCTTATTAATGACCAGATATTAAGCCTAACTAGTCTGACATAAGTTCATTCATATTCTTTCTAGCTCAACTTGTTTTGGTTAATTAAACATATTTCTATGAAAAAAAAATTCCCATGATCATGACCAGAAAATAAACTTGTAACTAAATAGCAGTCAGTGTGAAAGTATAGCTACTATCCAAATTGAATCTTTCTCTACAACTTTTCTAAGACTGATTTTACTGTTACCATAACAAAAAAGCATCAGGTATACATGGTTAAACTAACATATGGGCCTGAATTTAATCAAATGCTGCCAAATGAGCTTTTTAAAAATGGTTTTCTTTTTGATCCCACAAAACTGCCGTTCAAATGTCATATTTTGATTCTTTTTATGTTGCTACTGTGATGAAGACTGTGACAATAACAGTAAGTAGATATTCAATTGAGATAAAACTTGGTTTCCAGGAAGTTTTACCATGGTCTTAATCATACTTGTAGATTTTCAAGAGCATATTGAATATTTAGATCTTTATATTTTGACCACGGTAAAACCTTCTGTGCCACATAGTCTTCTGCTAGTCATAATATAGCAAAATAAGTAGCCATAAATTGAGATCTCATTTTTAATCAATTAAAAACCTTTACTCTGGCCAATGTGTTTAAATAGAATGTCAGTCTTGAGTAATGCAGGAAGCCTACTGACAGATAGATGGATATTTTATCTAAATGTTTATATATCTGGAAATTAAAGATGCATGCAAATTAACTTATTTATTTTCCTACCTACTGGTTTGATAGATTTAATTAATATGGGCGACTTCTTTCTTGCTGAGTTATTGATAATTGCCCTTTTATTGCCATCTGGTATCTGTTTGCTTATTTAAGTCTATTGTGCCTGCATAATATAATTAGTTAACTTTGCTCCAGATTGCCCATGGATGACTCTGGTTTTCAAAGCAGGTTTTCAATGGTAATCCAACAAAGTAGACTGTGTAATTAAATTTTTCTTCATTTTCTATGGCATGGCAAAATTTCAAGGCAGAATTTTTTTTTTTTTCAGAAAACATGGTTTATCAATGTTCTAAAAAAATTCAAAAAGGAGGAATTTGGTAGGTGTGGGGTAGTGCTAGGTTTGGGAATACTATTTGCATTTTTATTATGAGTCAAATTATATTTTCCGTTTCTTCTTTAACTTTACATTTTACCCTTTTTAAGGCATTACTTTACATTCTTGATAAATTTTGAAATACCATTACCTATTTTATTATTTAAGACATTTTTGTCCAAAATTTTTTTTCATTTTAAATTTTATCTAGGTCATGTTTTATTCATTAAAAAGCTTACAAAGAACTAATTTCTTCCATAATCAGCATTTAATGGATTGTGCGTATATTACAATATACCTAAAATTTAGTAATGCATCTAAAACAACAGATAAGTTGGACTTATATGTCATAAAAATACTCTGTGAGTAATCATAAAACTGCAAATATGGAAAGAAAGAGAGGAAAGGAAGCCACTCTATTATCAATTTTGACATATTTAAGTATTTATTATACTATCCCACCAGTTTTATACTGAAATTATATAAATTATAAATAATAGTATTTTAAAAGGGACTTAATTTGGAGGGTATACAATTATTTAACTTCCTATTCTATTCTTAAACACACAATATAGGTCTGATACACAGTTATTATTATTGACATTTTTTAAAACTTAATTTTATTGCTTTCCTAGGTTAATTCTACTATTCCTTAAATCTCATGTCTTTCTTTCTTGAATAGTACTTTCATTATGTGAAAAGTTCAGAAGTATATGTTCATGTAATTCCTTGACCGATATATTTGATATTTTGGCAGAGCACTGTAAAATTTGAATATTATAATATATAATCACATTTGACTGAAGCATTTATTTCATTTCAGAAAGGTTTGAAAGTTAAATGAGTACATATGTAAAAATAGATTATCAGCCTTAAAAATATCATATTAAAACCTCCAGAATGTGTGTGACTTTCATTTCCAGAAAGAAGAACCAGACATACTTTTTATTTTAATTTTTAATTTTTGTTGGTGTATAGTAGGTGTATATATTTATGGTGTGCAGGATATATTTTGACATAGGCATGCAATGCATAATAACCACATCAGAGTTAATGGAGTATCCATCCCCTCAAGCATTATCCTTTGTGTTACAAATAATCCAATTACACTCTCTTAGTTATTATAAAATGTAAAATTAAATCACTATCATTATTGACTGTAATCACCTGTGGTCCTATAAAATATTAGTTTTTATTCGTTCCTTCTAACTATTTTAGAACCCATTAGCTATCCCCACTTCTCTCCCTTCCCCACTCCACCTGCCACTGCCCTTCCTAGCCTCTGGTAATCATTCTTCTACTCTCTATCTCCATGAGTTCAATTGTTTTATTTTGTAGATCCCACAAGTATATGAGAAGATGTGAAGTTTGTCTTTCTGTGCCTGGCTTATTTCACTTTTATGATGATCTCTGTTTCCATCCATGTTTTTGCAAATGACAGGATGTTGTTCTTCTTATGGCTGAATAGTACTCCATTTTGTGTATGTACAACATTTTCCTTATCAATTTATCTGTAATGTGTGTGTCTTCCATTTCTAGAAAGAAGGACTATACATACTTTTTCCTATTCTTCCATATGTGTAAAAACAAAACAAAACAAATGAACCACCAAAAAAACCTGAATGACATATGGAAAGTTAACATAAGATTCTGAAAGATGAGGAAAAAAGCCACACTGGCCAGGAACATAGTGGGGGATGGGAAGGAGAGGAAATAAATGGTGATGAATTTTCTAGGTTATATATTTTTTTATTTTAGTTTGGTTTTTGCCTCATTTATTCCAAACTTGGAGCTGAATAAATTGACAATCTGGAAACACTAACAAATTCAGACAAAATATATTCCCCCTCAAAAACCTGTTCTCTCTAGCAAAACGGGTTTCCTAGGGAAACAAAAATAAAACATAAAAACAAAACATTGTAAGACCTAACTACTCTATTCTACCCAAACATCACGGAAAAAGTGTGGCCCCACCCCGACACACATCAACAAAAGCTGAGTGGGGAGCCTGGACTTTGACACTAATTGGGCTGTGAAAAGATACCTCAACATCCTTGCTTGAGTGGTATCAGGAAAGGCCAGGCAGAGAGCTATGATTTGATCCCAACTGGATGAAGAATGTTACCAAACTACAGTTCCCATCAAAATCCCAGCAAGATTTTTTGTAGATATAGACAAAGTCATTCTAATTTGCATATAATTAGAGAAAAAACTTTAAGAGCTAACAAATATTTGGGGAAATAAAGGGAGACTAAAGTGGGAGGGATCAGTCTACCCATTCCCAAAACACATACTATATAGCTTTTTATGCAGTTTATTTCATAAAATAAACAAGTATTTTGTTATTGGAAAATTAGATGGACAGATAGATAGATGAGTGGAATAGAAGAGGGAATCAAGAAATACACCTGCACAAATACTCCCACTGGCTTTTGGCAAAGGTGCAAAACCATCTGAATGGCTGAATGGAGAAATGACAGCCTTCCAACAGGTACAGCCAGAGCAATCATACATTTATTAACTCATAATAGACCATACGCTAAATAAAAAAGTGTAAAATTATAAAACTTTTTGAAAACAGTAAGAGAAAATTCTTTAGGGCCTATGGCTAGACAAAGAGTTCTTAACTTTGACACTGAAAGCAAAATCAATAAATGGAAAAAAAAAAACAAAAAATGCACTTTGTCAAAATTAAAATGTTTTGCTCCATGAAAACCCTGTTAAAAGGACAAAAAGAAAAGCAAGCTATAAGCTTGGAGATAATAGCTGACACATATCCAACAACGTGTTAGCATAGAGAACTCCCTAAACTCTACAATAAACTCTATAATAAAGACAAAAAATAATAGATAATGGAAAAAAAGACACAAAGAGACATTCAACAAAGAGAAATTATTTTATTACTCTTAGATATGATGAAGCCAACATATCAGGAGATGATTATCACTAAAAAGATATTTTGTCACTCACAGTTCCCAAGAGGAGGAAGCGCAGTGTACATGCAGAGCCACATTGGCAAGCAGTGGGGTCTGTTAGGAGTCACAGGGAGTGAGAGGAAAAACTTGGCAAGAGTTTTTCTTGTGGTTTCTGTGGGAAGGAATGAGCAAGCCAGAGTACGCTGGTGAATTGACTAGTCTTAATAATTGTAGTGGGCTCTGGAATATAGGTATTGTCTTAAGATGTCTAGTACCTGGCCCTGGAGTGATTGGAGCAGGATAATAGCAGTCCAGAGTTTACAAGCCTAATTGAGAAGGTAGAGTGGGCAGGCTCTGGATTGGTTAGTTTGGTGTGAAAGATACACTTTCAGATGGGTTGTGTTTAGTATCTCCAGGAATTGGCTAGCCCTAGGAGGGATAGTTTTCCAGGGTCAGTAAAGTCCAGATGTCAAAGTATCAGAAAGTAAAAAGAGAGAAGTAATACAGATATACAGATGGCAAACAAACACATTAACTCATACTCAACTTTATTTGTCAACCGAGAAATGCAAGTTACAATCACCATAAAACATGATTACACACTTATCAGAATGGCAAATATATATATATATATATATATATATATATATATATATATATATATATATTTACAACACCAAATCCTGACAAGGATGTGAAACAACTGGACTACTTATGTATTTATGGTGAGAAGGTAAAATAATATAACCACTCTGTAAAACAATTTGGCTGTATCTTAAAACTAAGCTAAACATGCAACTAGCATATGACTCAGAGATTGCATTCCTGGGCATTTATCCCAGAGAATTGAAAAGTTATGTTAACATAAAAACCTATACATCAATGTTCACAGCATCCTTACTTGTGATAGCTCCACACTGAAAACAACCCAGATATCCTTGAACAGGTGAGTAGGGAAACAAACTAGTATATATCAATGCAATGGAATACTACTTGCAATAAAAATGAAGAAATTATTGATTTAAAACACAATTTAGACCAATCTTCAGAGAATTATGCTGAGTGAAAAAAATTGAAGGATGTACTTTGATAAGCTCTATTTATAAAACATTCTCAAAATGACAAGACTATAGAAATGAAAAAGAGATTAACGGTTGCCAGTTACAGAGGAAGTAGAAGTGAGAAAGAAGTGGGTGTGGCTATAACAGCACAAGATGAGGGATCCTTCTGATGATGGAAGTTGTCACTATCTTGCCTATATTAATGCCAATATTCTGTTCACAGCGTTTTATAGTTTTAAAGATGTTGACATCTGGGGAACCTGGGTAAAGGTAAATGGAATCTCTTTGTTATTTCTTACAGCTTCATGTGAATCTCCAGAAAAACACAAAATAATAATAAAAAATAACTTTCAGTTTAATTTTTTAAAATGCAGAATCTGTGAATCTACAGATAATACAAAATAATAATATAAAATAACTTTTAGTTTAATTTTTTTTAATGCAGTTACACTCTTTTTTACTTGGTGTAGAATAAACTATTTTTAAGTCTCAAGTAAAACATCAGTTCCTCTTTGAAGCTTTCTTTGATTAATCATCAATAAAATTCACTGTGTTTCCTTCCTCACTCAAGATTAACTTCTTGTAGTTGATTATGACCATGTATGCTTCAGACCTAAAGACATAGGAAGAAATGGAATCCCAGAGTGTATAACTAGAGGGAGGGATATATATGTGTGTTTGTGTGTGTGTGCGCGTGTGTGTGTGTATATATATAATATATATATTATATATATAATTTTATATATAAATTTTTTTGGGTAGTTGCTAGACCTTGAGTACTGCTGTGACACCCTCATCAGCCAATGAAACAAAAGGTGTTGAGAACACTTCTATGGCTTCTTCTGTGCTGCAGGGAACCTTCACACAGTAGCTCTCATCACTTAACAGAAGATTTGACTACATGAGCAATTGGCAAGGACAGAAAATTATGACTTACACAGTGTCTTTCTCTAACTTTGTTGAGATAGGTAGGTGATTGAAAATGTAGTAAGACAATCATGTTATTATGTGCATTCAGAGATAATCTTTTTAAAAAATATTTCTTCAAATGATAAAATGTATTTTATATGATTTATCATAATAAGAAAAGAAGATAATATCCATTCCAGGGATGTTTTGAGATTTTTATTTTAATTTTTAGATTTATAAGTGAATTAGTTATTTTTTTCTATTAACATACGAAAATGCCTCTGGTAGGTCTTCTATTTAACACTTCCATGAGTAAGTTTTAGAAGAAACAAGTAGAGACCATTTCCTCAGGCCAGTAATAATTTAGTCAATAAACTCTGAACATTTTATTTTGGGTTTTATCTACCATAAACACAAGTGGTATGGTAGAGTCCCAATAAAAGACTTTAATGAAGCAAACGAAAAAATTATCATGTAAAATTTTTAGAGAAGTTGACATTATGCCAGTGGCAATTATAAAATTGGTGAAATAATAGGGACTTTCATTAATCATCTATTAACTGGCTATATTTTCACATAAATTATGAGGATAATTCTCAGAAACAGGTGCTAGAGTATTTTCTTCTACCAACATCTGGGGATGTATGTTTTTTAAAGTCCTCAGAAATCTTTTCCAGAATTATTTCCAGCTTGATAAGCAATTTTATTTATAATTTTCAAATTATTTCTTTCCTTTGTTAATTAAGACGCATAATTTTCTCATTTTTTTCCTATATGGATTTGGATGATATTTTATGAATATATTTCTTGTATTAGTTCCCCCCCGAAACTGAAAGTCCTAACATTTTTAATTTTTTTCTGACTATTCTAACCCAAATAAATGGTATCTTTTTTAATCTCCTCTCCTACTTTAGTAATGCTTTATATTTTTCTCATGTGATTAAAACTGGAGAACAAATAAAGGCTGGCATCATAGGTACTTTCTTTACCACTCTCTAAAATCAGCCTAAAGACTGTGCTGAATATTGTACCTGAATATTGTAAGAGTAGCTGGCTTTGAACTTGTTCTTAGCTTCTGTCTGGAAAAAACTCATCCTTTGGCAGCTAATATTACAACAGGGAATAGTCAGGGGACTGTAATGAAACAATCACATACTGAGCACAGACTGTAAATGAAGCAGGTATCCAACCTCTTTCAACCCACAGGGGCTATTATTTAGATTGATCATATCCCCAAGGGCGTTGCACATTTAACATTGACATCTGATCGAAATGGAAGATAAGGGTAGTGTCCCTAGGGCCAATATCTCAGAGAGCAGTTTACTTGAGAAGTTAGATCTAGAGGGGTTTCTTTCTTCATCTGAGTCTTTAACATTGTAATATGTTCAGAGAATTGGTGAGGTTGGTCTTTGCTTTGAGCCTGTTATTGTGTTTTTATCATTTAAAGTGCTCCAGTAAAAAGAGCACAACAGCACCCCTGAGAAACAGCTAACATCGTCCATTGCCAGGAAAAGGTAATGTGGAAGCACTTGGAGATTTTGTTCTTTAATGTGTAATTATCAAATTGAAAAGGGAAAAATCTCCCTTAAAAACTTAACAGCTTTCCTAAAGGCTTTGTCCTGATTTGGAGCCAAATTAAATCTTACTATAAAAAGGCTTATCGAAAGAAGTATTCCAATACAGTCATGCATACACACTAACAGTAATCAGTGAGTTCCAGGTAATTTCATATTTTTTTTTATTTAATTGATGCAAGAAGGAAATCTGCCTAAATAAACATGGCGGTGGACTTGCTGGCCACTAGCCAAGTTAAAAGCTTTTAGTGTTATTCAGAAAATTCCTATGAAATACAAATGAAAGCTAAATCTCATAATTTGAATGGATTTGGTATTAGGTAGTTGCATAAAAGAATGGATACGAAACTCAATTGAAAATATCTAGAATTTGATATGTTTATTAAACAAGTCAAATTTTTATCAACGTCCTTGTTCATTCTGTTTATTTTCCTAAACTATTCAAAATATTGGAGAAAACTGGGAAAGAAAAAGTCACCAACAGTGTTTACAAACGTAACATCTATTTTTCCTACTTCTCAGTTTTTCATATCTGAATGAATAGGTTCATGAATTTTCAGTTGTATTTCTTTTCTACTCTGGGAGTAGAATGCTTCCAGAATTCATGCAGGTAGTAGTCTCCACAAAATCTCCTTCTCTTGCTCCTAGGCATGGTTAGGAGCTGTCCATTTAGTGTTGAGAGGATCTCTCTGGACTCACATCCGTAAAACCTCTGTCCTCATTCCTAATAATGATTAATTTTCCTTTAATGTGGTAACACTGTTATTTAAAGACACAAAAAATATTTTAAAATATAAGACATCTTCTCTTTCTTTCCTCCCTACACCTCTCCTGGTTAAGTCATCATCATCTTTCTCCTTTTGCCTACTACAACTGAGGCAGGCAGTTAGAGAGGGTGTGGGGCATGATTACTTGCTGGTGGATAAGAGCATACAAATGAGGTCAAACAAATGAGCACAATGCCTCCAGTCAGAAACGTATGTTCCAGAAAGGGTCTAGGGCAGATATCTGTGGTCACTTGTAGTTGGCAACTTCCTTGTCAAAGGAGGAAAGGCTGATGGAGGGAAAGTCCTAAAAGCTAAGCATCCACAGTAGAAAAGAACCATGTCCTTATGGTGAACTTTGGTCATTATAATAGTAAAAACATACCTGTGGGTGGAGAGTTAACATACTAATGAGACATGTGATGTATATACTAGCATGTGCAGTGACTGTACATGTGGCGCCAGAAGACCACCCACAACATGCTTAACAACAACGCTCATTCTGGTGCCTTCAGGAAAAATCAAGTAAAAAAAAAGGAGTTTCCCCAGTACCAAATAGTGCTACCCATTCTCTAGCAGCCTGCTCTGACCCAGCTATCAGAGTGTACTTTCACTTTGTAGTAAGCTTCTTTGCCTACTCTCACTTTGGACTCACTCTGAAATTCCTTTTGTGAGGCGAAGTCAAGAACCTGAACCGGCCCACTGACAACATACCTTGGTAACCACAGAAGGTAGGACTGGTAGACTGAATCACCAGGTAAGAAAAACTTCACCACTTTAAGGCTAGAGATTCTATTTTTCATCACTGAGTTTTTTCCTTTCCTCTTTTTCTTTCACTTGCTTGTAAATCTCCAGAACAATTCCCCTCAGCCTCTATGAATTTGCTCCCTCTGGCTGATTTCTCAGTTCATCCTGACAGGTGACAGGCAGAGGTGGGAAGACTTCAAAGTCCACACCGAGTAGATCTAGGCCACCATGGCCCTTCCTGATGGGAGGCTTGTGAGGGTGGCAGGGTTTAAGTCCAGGCTGTGCAATGTCTGGAGATCTTTACTTTTTCTTACTAATAACAGCTGTTCAAACATATGATTTCAGTCTCTTGTCAACCAGAGCGCCACTAGTGTTCTCTATATTGTGTCCCCACCTTCCCTTTGTACACTTTTTTCTTCATTTTAAGCATCCATATCACCTTCGTAAAGCCCACTGTTGTGCTGTGCTCCCCCGCATTCTGCCCCCCACTCGAGCTGTGTCCCTCTGTGGAAACTTGTCTTGCTTCTTGGTCCATTGCCTTGACTGCCCATGCACCAACGCATGGGGATTTAATTTCTCTGTAAATTTAGACATACGGCACTCAACGGTGGGCACTGAGTGCAGACTCTTTACACGATCTCACTATTATTTCAGTTTTAGATAGAATAGTACCCTAGATTCAGGACATCATTTTCCATGTCCCTCACCCTTTAACCCTATTGTCTTTCAAAGATCTTTTGATGCCTCAATCATGTTTTGACTTTATTGGTCTGCTTGTATTCAGAGACTTTTGTCCATTCTTCCCTTTTGTCTCTGACCCATACGGCTGATATACATTGTCCCTTTTCTGCTGTATACGTCAAGAGTCAAGATTCCTCTGCTTTCAGCTGGGGCTAATGCAGTTTTTGTCCATGCATACAGGGAGCCTTTAATTGCTGGATAAAACATCTTTTCTTCCAGACTCCCTTTGTGGGACCTATGAAGCCTGTGGGTAGGACTATTTACACCTTCTAGGAAACATAAAAACAGGAGTCAATTCAGTTGGAAACCAACATTCCTGTCATCATAAAATCTAGCCTACTACTTGTCCTACATGACCCCAAAAGCCTTTTCATTTCCAAAGTCCCAAGGGCTGCAGACACTTAGGCAATGAGTGCTCCCTCCAAGAGGGATCTGCTCAGGGTGGGCCCCAGGGATGCCTG